>NW_003315965.1:0-188024 GCF_000001405.40 Homo sapiens
GAATTCTGATCTAGCTTCTCTAAAAGTTACTGTGGAGGATTAAAGATACCAAATTGGCAGAGAAGCAATTCTGCCTGCATATTTAGGGGACAGTATGCACTTTGCAGCACAATTGTGAATTGACTGATAGCCTGAGAGGGAAAGTTTCCTCTAGAGTAAAGCTTGGGTGGCACCTTATATTTATATATCATGTCTGATAATTCTAGACAGTTTTTGTGAAACATAATTAAAAGATAAATTTTCTTCAGCCCCAGAGAAACTCCACAATAGAACAGACATAAAACTGTTTTATTACACAATTAAACCTGAATGTGACATGCATCACAGTCAATCTGCTTAAGAGACTGAAAAGATAGAAAGACAGTAACCGTAATTAGTTCACAAGTAGAAAAATGTATAGCACCATGTCATACACAGTTCATCCTAAATTCACCTGGTAATTGGGAAGGCTAGCCATGCAGGCTAATCAGTTATGTTCAATGACAAAATAAACTTTTCACATCTTCATGAAAGGAGGTAATTTTGCAACTTGAATCCAGGTGCCTGCTGAAGGTAGGCTCTCAATCTCCTACAAAAATGGTTGAATAGAGTGCTATCTTTTTGGCTATTTACACTTTAAAGCAATGGCTCTCTACTCCCTGAGCACTTGGCTACATCTCTCCTGCTTGCCCTCTCCGTTAGCTAGTGTCCTCTCTTGACCACTACCATCTGCCATTGAGGCAGAGCACACTGCACAGGGCTCACATCTGAAAGCTCACATCTTACATAAACCACAACTGCCACAGCAGCACTCCAGTGTCACCCCAGAGAGGGAAGCCTGAGCTGCAGGAGGAGAGCCTGCAGGCCTCCTGGGGAGAACTGCACCTTTACATTAATGGACATTGGAACAGTAATTCAGCCTCAGTTTTTATTTACAATGTGACATGGAAAAACTACTGCTGGATTTCCAACATTAAGTCCAAGTACAGATAGCTCCAAAATTTCTCACTGTGACAGCCCACCTCATTCACAGACAACAGGGAATATTTAATAGTGCAGACACCCAAAGCATTGGACAGAAAAACAGCTCTCAGTCTGAGCAAGATTATGCTTAGAGAAAAAAAAAAGTTAAATGCATTTTAAGTAAAAACTCAGTTTAGGCCGGGCATGGTGGCTCACGCCTGTAATCCCAGCACTTTAAGAGGCCAAGGCAGGTGGATCATGAGGTCAGGAGATCGAGACCATCCTGGCTAACACGGTGAAACTCCATCTCTACTAAAAATATAAAAAATTAGCCAGGCTTGGTGGCACAAGCCTGTAGTCCCAGCTACTCGGGAGGCTGAGGCAGGAAAATCACTTGAACCTGGGAAGTGGAAGTTGTAGTGAGTCGAGATTGCGCCACTGCACTCCAGCCTGGGTGACAGAGTGAGATTCTATCTCAAAAACAAACAAACAAACAAAAACTCAATTTAGATATAAGATTGATCAAGTCAGCCAGAAAATATTCTCTTAAAAGGAATTTCTCTCTAAACAACCAAAGTGCACAGCTACTCTCAGCATGAGAAACATGAGCATTATGAAGAAAAGGGATATATTCTCAGCAGAATTTTATAAGATTTCTCTTCCATCTCTGCTGCTCTCTCATCTCCTAGCCATTGAATGGGGGGTTATATATTGAAATACATCTCACAATTTCCACCAGCACTTTTGATGAAGATGTATAATCTGACTTTGTTCATATAGTGGAATGTATTTAAGCTTGCCACATAGCTAACTAAAGAGCTATTATGGTTTTGCGGTGGCCACATCATCTGTGTTTATTTCTCCTGTAATAGCAGCATTCCAACATAGTGAAATGAAAGACGCTATAAATAGGCTGGGCATGGTGGCTCATGCCTGTAATCCCAGCACTTTGGAAGGCCAAGGTGGGCAAACTTCCTGGGCTCAGGAGTTTGAGACCAGCCTGCACAACACGGTGAAACCCCGTCTCTACTAAAAATACAAAAATTAGCCAGGCATGGTGGTGGGTGTCTGTAATCCCAGCTACTAGGGAGGCTGAGGCAGGAGAATCACCTGAGCCCAGGAGGTGGAGGATGTAGTGAGCCGAGACCATGCCATTGCACTCCAGCCGGGGTGACAAGAGCGAAACTCTGTCTCAAAAAAGAAGACACTGTAATTATGCTTACCTATAGTTATCCCTATTAGATAAGTTAATAAACATGTCAGACTAATATCTACTTTAGCAATTTGGTAGTAAATTTTATTTGGATATTAGAAATAAATATCTAAGTATAAATAACTAATGTATTAGATATAAGGCATGTAAGAATTTTTTAAATTGTCTGTAGCCATAATTCAGTTAAAACACTATATTTTTTATATGTATATATACTTTATATGTTTCAAAAGTATGAACAGCAATATTAAAATGACTATTTAATGAGTATTCAGTCAAAGTAAATGTTTTGGCCTTATATTCATACTACTGAAGAAAATGCTGTTTAATTTATATGAATGCAGGTTGTCTACAAACACTACACGTAACTATGCTAATACCTTGTATAATCGGTTTTCTGTCAAAGAAATGTACTCAGTATCTTTCAGCTTTTATCATTCTGTATTGCTAAATTTCATCCTATCTTTGTGCTCAATGTTTTGTGTTTTTTTTTTTTTTTTTTTTTTGAGATGGAGTTTCGCTTTTGTTACCCAGGCCAGAGTGCGATGGGGTGATCTCGGCTCACTGCAACCTCCACCTCCTGGGTTCAAGCAATTCTCTGGCCTCAGCCTCCCGAGTAGCTGAGATTACAGGCATGCACAACCATGCCGAGCTAATTTTTTGTATTTTTAGTAGAGACGGAGTTTCTCCATGTTGGTCAGACTGGTCTCAAATTCCTGACCTCAGGTGATCCGCCCGCCTCGGCCTCCCAAAGTGCTGGGATTATAGGCATGAGCCACTGCGCCCAGCCTTACGTGTTCTTAATATGAGCTTTAATCTAAACAAATCTTTGTCTCCTTTAAAGACCATATATATATATATATATATCTACACCAAAGCAAAAACAAAGCAATGAATCTAAATAAAAAGAATCCTGAGTCACAAAGAATAATAAGAGGTTCATTTTGTTTTAATATGATTTATATATATTTCAAAAAAGTAGAGAAAAATATCTACATAAAATCTAAATGCTTTAAAAAAGATAAGCAAAATATATTTTCTTATTTTCCTATAGGAGAATAAATCCTCTTATTTCTAATTTGTATTTTCTCCTACAAAAGCCAGGTCTTTTGATATATTCTTAAATTCTTGGACATCTGAATTTCAGCAGACACTCAAAATCTAAGGAGTATCCTTGGGCACACTGTGTGCACTTGAAAATATGCTTATGGGAAAAAAAAAAAACAGAAGAGAAAAAGGTGTTATAAAAAATGTATTGGTACACATAAATAAAACAAGTTCTTAGAGACCTAAGAAGAGATGTAGATTCTGACACAATAGTAGAAGGCTAAAAGACCTCACAGATACTATTAGACAGATTATTGAGGCAGAAAATAAACAAAAATATTTAAACCTAAATTCAGCACTTGACCAGAGTCCTAGTAGACATCTACAGAACTCTCCATCTAAAAACATCATAATATACATTCTTCTCATCACCACATGGCACATACTCTCAAATTGACTATACAATCAGAAATAAAACAATCCCCAGCAAATTCAAAAATCCTCAAACCATACCAATCACAAAGACCACAGCTTGACAAAATTACAATTCAATACATAGAAAACCACTTGAAACCATACAATCACATGGAAATTAACCTGCACTTGAATGACTTTTGGGTAAATAATAAAATTAAGGTGGAAATTTAAAAGTTTTTGAAACAAAGATACAACATACCAGAATCTCTGCAACACAGCTAAGGCAGTGTTAACAGGGAAATTAATAGCATTAAATGGTCACATCAAAAACATCTCAATTTAACAACCTAACATCATAAATAAAAGAACGAGAGAAGCAAGAGCAAAGCAACTCCTAAGCTATCAGCAGACAAAAAAAATAAATAAATAAGATCAGAACTGAAGATTTAGATATGAAAAACTATACAAAAGAACAAGAAATCCGAGATAAATCTTTGAAATAAATAAATAAGGTAAATAGCTAGATTAATGAAGAATAAAGAGAAGATTCAAATAAACAGTTAATGACAAAAGAGAAATTATCACTGACCCCATAAAAATACAAATAACTATTGAAGTCTACTATGAACACCTGTCTGCACACAAACTAAAAAACCTAATAGAAATACATAAATTTCTAGACAAATACATTCTCCAAAGACTGAACAAAAAAGAAACTAAATTCCTGAATAGACCAATAACAAATTCCAAAATTGAATAAGTAATAAATAGCCTACCATCCAAAATAAAGCCCAGGATTAGACAAATTTACAGCTGAATTCAACCAGACGTAAAACGAAGGGCCTGAACCATTCTACTAAAACTATTCCAAAATTGAGAAGAAGGGACTCCTCCTTAGCTCGTTATATAGAAACAGCAACATTCTGATGCCAAAACCTGGCAGAGATGAAACAAAAAATAGAAAACTTCAGGCCAATATTCCTGATAAACATTGATGAAAAAATCCTCAACAAAATGCTGGCAAACCAAATCCAGCAGCACATCAAGAAGCTACTCCACTATGATCAAGTAGGCTTTATCCCTGAGATGCAAGGTTGGTTCAACATGCAACAATTAATAAATGTTATTCATCACATAAAGAGAATTAAAGATAAAAACCAAAAAAATTATCTCAATAGATGCAGAAAAAGATTTCAATAAAATTTATCAGCCTTCATGTTTAAAATCCTCAACAAACTAGGCATTCAAAGTACACACTTCAAAATAATGAGTTATCTATGACAAGCCCAAAGTAAACATACTGAATGGATACAAGCTGAAAGCGTTTATCTTTGAAAACTGGCATATCGACTGGGCGCGGTGGCTCACGCCTGTAATCCTAGCACTTTGGGAGGCCGAGACGGGCGGATCACGAGGTCAGGAGATCGAGACCATCCTGGCTAACACGGTGAAACCCCGTCTCCAGTAAAAATACAAAAAATCAGCCGGGCGTAGTGGTGCGCGCCTGTAGTCGCCTGTAGTCCCAGCTACTCGGGAGGCTGAGGCAGGAGAATGGCGTGAACACGGGAGGCGGAGCTTGCAGTGAGCGGAGAAGATTGCACCACTGCACTCCAGCCTGGGCGACAGAGCGACTCTGTCTCAAAAAAAAAAAAAAAAAAGAAAGAAAACTGGCATACCTTCTCTCACCGCTCCTATTTAAGAGAATTGGAAGTCCTGGCCAGAGCAATCAGACAAGAGATAAAATGAAAGGCATTCAAACAGGAAGAAAGGAAGTCAAACTATCCCTGTTTGCAGATGACATAATTCTGTATCTAGAAAACCCTACAGTCTCTGCAGAAAAGCTCTTTAAACTGACAAATCACTTCAGCAAAATTTCAGAATACAAAATAAATGTATAAAAATTGGCAGAATCTCTGTATATTAACAACATGCAAGCCAAAAGCCAAATCAAAAACACAATCCCCTTCACAACTGACACACACACACACACACACACACACACACACACAAATATCTAGGAGTACACCTAACCAGAGAAGTGAAAGATCTCTATGTCAAGAATCACAAAACACTGCTTAAAGAGTCACAGACGGCCAGGCACGGTAGCTCATGCCTGTAATCTCAGCACTTTGGGAAGCCGAGCCGGGTGGGTCATTTGAGGTCAGGAGATCGAAACCAGCCTGGCCAACACAGTAAAACTCCATCTCTACTAAAAACACAAAAATTACCTGGGCATGGTGGTAGGCACCTGTAATCCCAGCTATTCAGGAGGCTGAGGCAGGAGAATAGCTTGAACCCAGGAGGCAGAGGTTGTGGTGAGCTAAGACTGTGCCATTGCACTCCATCCTGGGTGACAGAGTGAGACTCGGACTCAAAAAAAAAAAAAAAAAGAAAAAGAAAAAAAAAAAAAAAGTCCGAGATAACACAAATAAATGGAAAACTATTCTATGCTCATAGGTAGAAAAGATCAAAATGATTAAAATGGCCATAATGCCCAAAAAAAGAAATGATTTAATGCTATTCTTATCAAACTACCAAAAACATTCTTAACAGAACTATAGAAAACTATGTTAAAATTCATATGGAAGGAAAAAAGAGCCCGAGTAGCCAAGGCAATCCTAAGCAAAAAGAACAAAGCTGGAGGCGTTACATTACCTGACTTCAAACTATACAATAGGGCTACTGTAACCAAAGCCGCATAATACTGGTACAAGAAACAGACTCACAGACCAATGCAACAGAATAGAGAGCCCAGAAATAATGCCACACGCCTATAACCAACTGATCTTTGACAAAACTAACAAGAGGAATGTGGGAAGAATTCCCTATTTAATAAATGGTGCTGGGATAAACACCTAGCACTGTGTAGAAAATTGAAACTGGACCCCTTCCTTACATCATATACAAAAATCAACTCAAGATGAATTAAAGCCTTAAATGTAAAACTTAAAATTATAAAAAACCCTTCAAGATAACCTAGAAAATACCATTCTAGACATGGGAACTAACAAAGATTTTATGATGAAAATACCAAAAGTAATGGCAACAGCAACAATTGACAAATGGGACCTAATTAAACTAAATATCTTCTTCACAGCAATGGAAACCATCAACAGAGTAAACACAAAACCTATAGAATAAAATAAAATATTTCCAAACTATGCTTTTGACAAAGGTCTAATATCCAGAATCCATAAAAAACTTAAGTTTACAAGAAACAAACAAACGACCTCCTTAAAAGGTAGACAAAAGGTGGCTGGGCTCCGTGGCTTATGCCTGTAATCCCAGCACTCTCAGAGGCCAAGACAGGTGGATCACCTGAGGTCAGGAGTTTGAGATCAGCCTGGCCAACATGATGAAACCCTGTCTTTACTAAAAATACAAAAAATTAGCCACGTGTGGTGGTGGACACCTATAATTCCAGCTACTCAGGAGGCTGAGGCAGGAGAATCTCTTGAACCCAGGAGGCGGAGGTTGCAGTGAGCCGAGATCACACCATTGCACTCCAGCCTGGGAAACAAGAGCGAAACTGTCTCAAAAAAAAAAAAAAAAATAGACAAAAGGCTAGGAGTGGTGGCTCACGCCTGTAATCCCAGCACCTTGGGAGGCCAAGGAGGAAAGAGCACTTGAGGTCAGGAGTTTGAGACCAGCCTGGCCAACAAGGTTAAACCTTGTCTCTACTAAAAATACAAAAATTAGCAGGGCATGGTGGCAAGTCCCTGTAATTCCATCCACTCAGGAGGCTGAGGCAGGAGAATCGCTTGAACCCAGGAGGTGAAGATTGCCGTTTGCTGAGATTATGCCACTGCACTTTAGCCTGGGCGACAGAGTGAGACTTCGTCTCAATTATAAAAAAAAAGGTAGACAAAAAACATGAACAAATGTTTTTCAAAATAAGATATATATGTGGCTAACAAGCATATGAAAAAAATACTCATCACTAGAGAAATGCAAAGAAAAAACCACAACCAGATTCCATCTCACACCAGTCAAAATGGCTGTTATTACAAAGTCAAAAAATAACATGCTGGCAAGGTTTCAGAGAAACGGCTATGTGCTGCTGGCATGAGTGTAAATTAGTTCAACCATTGTGAAAAGCAGTGTGGCAATTCCTCACAGAACTAAAAAGAGAATTACCATTTGACCCAACAACCTCATAATTGGGTATATACCCAATAAAATATAAATTATTCTGTCATAAAGACACCTGCACATACATGTTCATTGCGGCACTATTCACAATAGCAAAGACATGGAATCAACCTAAATGCCTATCAATGGTAAACTAAATAAAGAAAATATGGTATGATAAGGTGTGGTGGCTCATGCCTGTAGTTCCAGCACTCTGGGAGGCCGAGGCAGGTGAATTGCCTGAGCTCAGGAGTTCAAGACAGGCCTAAACAACATGGAAAAACCCCATCTCAACAAAAAATACAAGAAAAATTAGCTGGGCTTGGTGGCACACACCTGTAGTCCCAGCTACTTGGGGGCTGAGGTAGAAGAATTGCTTGAGCCCAGGAGGTTGAGGCTGCAGTAAGCTGAGATCATGCCACTATACTCCAGCCTGGGTGACAGAGTGAGACCCAGTCTCCAAAAATAAATAAAATAAAAGATTTAATGAAAACAAAATATGGTACATAAACATCATGGAATACTGTGTTGCCATAAAAAGTGAACAAGATTATGTCATTTGCAGCAACATGGATGGAGCTGGAGACCATTATCCTTACAAAACTAATGCAGAAAGAGAAAACCAAATGCATGTTCTCATTTATTAGTAAGAGCTAAATAATAACACATGGACACAAAGAGGGGAACAACAGACACTGAGTTCTAGTTAAGGGTGGAGGATGGAGGACAAAGAGGATCAGAAAAATAATACCTGTGTGGTGCTGTGCTTAATACCTCAATGACAAAATAATCTGCACACCAACCCCCCGACACAATTTCACCTATGTAACAAACCTGCACATGTACCCCTGAATCAAAAATAAAAGTTAAAACAAAAAACTCGCTGGCTGGGCACAGTGGCTCACGCCTGTAATCCCAGCACTTTGAGAGGCTGAGGTGGGCGGATCACGAGATCAGGAGTTTGAGACCATCCTGGCCAACACGGTGAAACTCTGTCTCTACTAAAAATACAAAAATTAGCGGGGCGTGGTGGCAGCCACCTGTAGTCCCAGCTTCTCAGGAGGCTGAGGCAGGAGAATTGCTTGAAACCAGAAGGCTGAGGTTGCAGTGAGCCGAGATCGTGCCACTGCACTCTAGCCTGGGCAACAAGAATGAAACTGTCTCAAAAACAAAAACAAAAACAAAACATAAAAGAACTTTATGGGTTGGGGAGAGGGCAATGCAGGTGGAAGGACTGGTTTGTGCTACAGATAGTGGCCCAGGTGTGACTCTACTCTGATTAATTTCTGGGTCCATGCAGGCAGATGAGATTATGAACAGGTTGTCCAGAACCCCAGGTTGGTGGAGAAAACAGGTTGCTGCTGCAGATTCAGTGTCTGGGGGTTGGGATATGCCAGGAGACTTGTAGACACTTTTGTGAGTTTTTGGCAAGAAACGCTAGGATCAAAAATGCCGTAGTGAAATTGCTGGGGGTGGTACCTATTCCTACGAGGGGTGTGGACAAGTCAATGTCTAGTGGATATGTTTGTAAGAAGGTGGGAATCCTGTGGTGGCAGCAGTGGAAAAAGGGGGTCTGTTATCAGAACTTTTTTACTCTAAGTTTTTATCCTCTCTCACCCCGGGAGGAGATCTGAAATCACAGGATAATGGGCAGTGTGATGGCCTGTGTAGAGAAAAGCAGAGCCTCCCATTCCCAGACACCCAGAGATCCATTCCAGACCAGGCCTCTGTGATATCTTTTATCTGGAACCAAATTTGTAGAGCTTGGTAAACACCAAGCAATTCTCCAACACCAACTCATTGCCTAACATTTGAATTCTGACACCACCCAGAGTCAGCACAGACCCTGATTCAGGGCTCAGTCTCACAACATTGTTCTTACTGCAGATGCCAGTCACAAACCCCATAGACCCATCTGTTTCTGAGCTACCGTTTAAAAACTGGGGACTCTCATAACCTTCTTCAAGTTCAATAATATTATACAGCTACTCACAGAACTCAGGAAAACAACCTAGTTACATTTATCAGTTTATTAGAAAAGATACAATCCAGGAAAAGTCAGAAAGAAATACCCTTCCCATTATGACTTAGATGGTGCTCTTTTCTTACCTGTCACATAGCCAGACACAGACTCTGCACACTGTCTCTTTTTTCTCATTAAAAAAAATAAATAAATCAGCTGAATTTGTTTTCAGTGGTCAACCTAGAATACTTCTTAATCAAACATTACTTAAGTTTATTTCCTTTCAACAGCTTTCTGAACTTTAAGCTACCCTCAGTCTGAGTCAACATACAACCCCATTTTATGTAGTTCCTAAGAACATGATGACTTCAGGGTAAAACATTCTCTGATCTAAAATCTCATTCTTTCACCCTCCATTTGCCATCCCCTCCCACCTCCTAATACTGTTTGCTCTTCCATATGAAACAAGGCCCTTGTCTGCCTAAACTTTGCAATCCTTGAAGATCTCAGAGTTGGTACTTCGTCCTCTTGCAATACTCTTTTGGAATTCAATTCTTTTTCCAACATAAATCTAACTTTGTTTTACTTTACAAAGTCTAGAAACTACCACAAAACAATAACAATTTCATCTTCAGTAAGACCCTCCCAATCCCCTTTCATCTTAACCTTAACTGCATCTGGCTGTGGGTCCCCAACTTTCCAAGGCTATGTAGTTTCTCTCAGGATAAAGGCGTCTTCCATGGCTGGGGTGAGCAGGCTGGAATATCTGCAGAGAAGACTCCCCAGAAAAAACTAAGTGGTCCTTTAATAACTTCCTTTTGCAGGCTCAGTATTAGCCTTAGCTTAGAGTCACTAGGCTCAGGCTTTAATTTTCATGTCAGAGTTATTCATGTGGTTTTTGAAAGTAAGTGTTTGAAAAATTCAGCAGAATTACTCTAACACAGTGTACATGTAAGGGAAGAAAATTTTAAGGTGCTTACATTTTATGTCTCAGTAAGATAAGCAAAAGTATCTATTCCTTTCAGACAATAAATATTATTTTACTATTTCCATTAAAAATCATGTAGTAAACAGTCATATGGGAACACTTCTAGAGGGTACAAAGTTTCAGCTCATAAAATTTAGCATGAAACTCAGACAGCAATATAACAGGATATAGAATAGAGATATTCACGGTTACAAATTTACCCTGCAAAAAGAGGAACTGATGTTTTCATGAATCTACATAACTCACCAATTACCTACCATATTTTCTTGTGGAAATGTGTGCATTTTCTGAAGCCAAAATGGAAGAGAGATTTTTCCTATTTTTTTCCCTGGTAGCATTCTAAAAGTTAAGCCTTGAAATTGTTTAAAAACACCCAGCCATAAAAAACAAACCAGAGAAAATTCCTAAACTCATTCTGAGAAAAGGGTAAATACAAATTTTTGCCGGGCGCAGTGGCTCACACCTGTAATACCAGCACTTTGGGAGGCTGAGGCGGGTGGATCATAAGGTCAGGAGATCGAGACCATCCTGGCTAACACGGTGAAACCCCATCTCTATTAAAAATACAAAAAATTAGCCGGGTGTGGTGGCGGGCGCCTGTAGTCCCAGCTAGTCAGGAGGCTGAGGCAGAAGAATCACTTGAACCTGGGAGATGGAGGTTGCAGTGAGCAGAGATTGCGCCACTGCACTCCAGTCTGGGCGACAGAGTGAGACTTGGTCTCAAAAAAAAAAAAAAAAATTAACAAATGGAATATATAATTAAATATTAATTTTATTCTGAAATCCATCTCTTTTTTGCCCTTGGTAAATATTTTCTTATCTTTCTTTCAATCCCTACTAACAAAATGCAATTCACAGTTAAAAAACTGAGGTCAAAATAAGCGACCAAATCTTTTCAAGGTACAGATGTGTCTGACTCATGTTTCAATCAGGCCATCCAATCACTTGAGAGATTCTCCCACTCCATTCTGCTCACTTAAGTGCCCAATAACCCCTTCTCAGGAGACTCTGAATTAAGCCCCAGTGAGTGCCCCAGATGTATTTTACTTTGCAAGTTCTTACACCATCTCACTGGATCACTGTTTTTTTTTCTTTTGGGATATTATTTTTGATTTCAAAGATTCGCACTATTTTTCTTTCACTATTTTTTCATTATATTTCTTTCCCTATTGTTTTGCCCCCTTAGAGAATGCAGGGGGCAGAAATTATTTCAATGCTTTTTCCCGCAATACCAGCAACTGATTGGCTGACCAGCAAGAAATGGAAGCTGGGTTGGGTCTTCAATAATTGGAAGCTGGGTTGGGTGAAGACAATCTTAATGTCTCAAGGGTTAGCTTTTCAAAGGAAGAGTATGCCAGGAGATTCCTCTCAATTCCAGGGCATCCGCCTGCTTCCCTGAAAGGCTACACTCCATACCTCAGATTGTCCCATGGGAGAAAATGACCAGGAGCTGATATTCACTAGACACTCTAGCAGACATAGCCATGGGGGGTATTTTAGTTAATTCCCAGACAGTACTGAAACCCAGGACCAGGAAAAAAATCTGAAGAATGGCTGAAAACACATCACTCCATAAAGTTTCCAAAGGAAAACATTTACCCCCGAAACATTCTGATAAAATCTGTGGGCCTAGGAGGAAAAAAAAAAAAAAAAACAGTACAAAGACTTTTTACAACGCAGTGTCAGGGGATAATTTTTTGCTTTCTTCTCATAGGAAATATTTACAAACAGAAAACAAATATTAGGAAAAGTGCCATCCAATGCTTTGTTAAAAAATAATTAAAACATGGTATCAAAAATGTACACTAAAGGACAAATAGTAGGCTGGGCACGGTGACTCACGCCTGTAATCCCAGCACTTTGGGAAGCTGAGGCGAGCAGATCACAAGGTCAGGAGTTCGAGACCAGCCTGGCCAACATAGTGAAACTCTGTCTCTACTAAAAATACAAAAAGTAGCCAGGCATGGTGGCACATGCCTGTAGTCCCAGCTACTCAGGAGGTTGAGGCAGGAGAATTGCTTGAACCCGGAAGGCGGAGGTTGTGGTGAGCCAAGATCAGGACACCACACTCCAGGTTGGGCAACAGAGCGAGACTCCATCTCAAAAAAAAAAAAAAAGGACAAATAGTAATGTGAATCAGAGAGGAAAAAATTGACATTTGGGAAGGTAACAATGAACTGGAAATTTTATATTTTACTGCAAGCCAGAGATAGGCTGCAGGAATGGGGGTTTGGGAGTACACATAATACTCTCCTTGGGATACCTGTAAAAAATGCAAGGGAAAAAAAAAAAAATCAGTCCTCCGAGGAGTGTGAAAATAATTAAGAATAATTAAGTGGCAGGCAATTAGACTGAGGTGGCTCTAGTCCCTGATATCTACTTTTTAAAAAATCTAATTCGGCCGAGCGCAGCGGCTCACACCTGTAAACCCAGCACTTTAGGAGGCCGAGGAGGACGGATCACCTGAGGTCGGGAGTTCGAGACCAGCCTGACCAAAATGGAGAAACCCCCGTCTCTACTAAAAATACAAAATTAGCCCGGCGTGGTGGCACATGCCTGTAATCCCAGCTACTCAGGAAGCTGAGGTAGGAGAATCGCTTGAACCCGGGAGGCGGAGGTTGCACCGAGAGGAGATCGCGCTATTGCACTCCAGCCTGGGCAACAAGAGCAAAACTCCGTCTCAAAAAAAGAAAAAAAAAAATCTAATTCAAGTGCATTTTTTTTTTTGTAAATTATACATTGGGGGAAACAAAACTCAGGCTTAACCAACTATAAACTACAATTAACCTCTGATTATATAAACGGGAAATTTCCATCTTGATTGTACAAACTGAGAAACTACGTAACTGTACATAACCAATTACTGAATTTGGTTTTCTTCATTGTGCACCTTAAAAAAATCTTTCCGTCAAATCCCTTCCATAGACCATAAACTACAAACCATAGCTGGGTGCTCTACAATTTTTGAATCACTTTGATTAAATTATTTATTACTTTAGTGGTGACCGCCATAAATTTTTAACAGAAGAAAAGAGGGACTGGAAACCTCACTGGACCAAAGCTCTTCCCATTCATGAACCCGCATCCGGAGTCAGGATTCTCCCCTGACGCCCCTCCCGTGGTCCCTGCACAATCTCGGAGAGACGCGGCCATGCGGGTGCAGAGCGGCCCAGAGAGGGCTCCAGGCCAGGGCACAGTCACAGCGCATGGAGGAGACAGGTCGCCCAGGGTCCCGCAGTCAGCGCATTCGCCATCTTATGGCTGAAGGAGACTGAGGCCGAGATGGGAAAGAACTCCAGGCGCAGATTGTGGAGCTGACTGCGGGGAGGCCGGAGTCCCGCCACAGCCACTTCCCACCGGTTCCAATCAGCCCCTTCCCCTTCTCGGGATGTCGGACCCGGCACTCTCACCATTTCTAGGCTGCCAGGGGCACCTGGCATGTTAGCTGTGGATCTTCCAATGCCGCAGGTTACAGGGCCACAGAGGCTGAGGACACACAGCAGTGAAGGCGAGACCGGGAACTGCGGCTGCAACCAGAAACAACGGCCCCGCCACATCTCGGATGCCGCCTTTTCCGCTCCAGCTGCATGCCTGATTGGACGGTTCCTAGCCCAGAGTCCCTGATTGGATAATTCTTAAATCCCCGCCTCCTCAGATCCTGAGTGACAAAAGATGTGATCAGATGCTGGACAGAATGAAGACTGATAGGCCGCGCGGTGGCTCGCGCCTGCAATCCCAGCACTTTGGGAGGGAAGCCCAAGCGGGTGGATCACCAGAGGTCAGGAGTTGGAGACCAGCCTGGACAACATGGCAAAACCTCGTCTCTACTAAAAATAAAAATTAGCCAGGCGTGGTGGCGGGCGCCTGTAATCCCAGCTACTCCGGAGGCTGAGGCACGAGAATCACTTGAACTCGGGAGGCAGAGGTTGCAGTGAGCCGAGATCGCACCACTGCACTCCAGCCTGGTTGACAGAGAGACAGTCTGTCCCCCGCCCCCCCCCCCAAAAAAAAGTAAAGAGTGACAGTCTAGGCTGCAGCCTTTTCAGGCAGGGCTTCTTCCCTGAGCTAAGTAAGCCAGGCCAACCCCAGAGGGTATTTGCATTTAACCTTTTGTATAAGGTCATATTCTTTCGTAAATAATGTATTATATGGTTATACACAAATGAAAAGAATATAATAAAAATTATCTAAAAATTTCTGATTTTATGACCTCCCTGACTTCTGTTTTTTCCATCAGATTGCCTGAGATTTTAAAAAGAAGGCAATCCTCTGAAATAAAATGTGAGCTACATGTGAATTTTAAATTTTCTAGTAGCCAAACTTTAAAAAGAAAAACAAACAAAAAATGCGGTATTTATTGTAGCAATTTAATTAAACCAGTATATCCAAAATATTATCATTTTAATATGTAAGCAAAATGTAAATTATAAATGAAGTGTAGATATTTTTTGGAACTTCATCTTTGAAACTAACTCTGTATTTTACCTTTCCAGCATATCACAGTTTAGACCAGCCACATTCCAGGCACTCAGTCGCCACACATGGCCAGTAGCTGCCACATTGAAGTGCAGCTCTGACCTCGGGAGCGAAGGGCCTGAAAAAACTTTTCTGCCAAAGCTGAAAAAAGAGCCTTTCCCTACCAACATTTCTCTTCAGCTCTGAGGGAGGAACAGATAGTAGCCATAGAAAAATCAGAGGACAGCAAGAAAAAAACAACCACAGGTAGACCACTGCTGGCCACCCATTTTCCACCTTTCTTCCAGAGATCAGAAGGTGAACAAAGGATGATAAGGCCACAGGAGAAGAAATCTCTATGTCTTCAAACCTGTGCACAGTCTTGACCTCCAATGTTTAGATATGAAGAAAACAGATTAAAGGCAAACTTACTTTTCTATTTGTCCTTGGCCCTAATGTCAGGCCGTGGTTATCTGTTTTCTCCTGTGGTATGGGGGACTGTGTGAGTATAGGCACCAATTACATGCATACATATCCATATATATTTCTGCATTACTCAGCATTCTCTTACTTGGCATCCAACTTCAAATCAGGGGGAAAAATCAGTACCTATAGGGTGCCCACTGTTAGAAGAGAACTAGTAATCAACTTGTCAATGAATCCTGGCATCCTGTCTGCACTGGGTGCATGTATTAATTAGCTATTGCAGCATAACAAATCATTCAAAACTTATTTGCCCATAATTGAGATGGTCAGCTATTTAGGCTGGGCTCAGTGAGGCTGTTCTTTTTGTCTCAGCTGAGCTCCTCCAGACATGTATCTTCAGCTGTTTGTTGAATAGGCAGCTGTGCTTCTGGGGATGAGCTTCTGCTTCTGGGGCTGTCAACAGGGGCACCTTGCTTCTCCTCCCCATGGTATCTTATCCTCCAGCTTGCTAACATCGGCCATTTTTCATGGAAATGGTAGCATTCTGAAAGAAAAACAGAAGCATTCAAGACCTTTTGAGCTGAAGGGGTGGGTTGCCCCTCCACACCTGTGGGTGTTTCTCGTAAGGTGGAATGAGAGACTTAGGAAAGAAAAAGACACAGAGACAAAGTATAGAGAAAGAAATAAGGGGACCCGGGGAACCAGTGTTCAGCATATGGAGGATCCCGCCAGCCTCTGAGTTCCCTTAGTATTTATTGATCATTCGTGGGTGTTTCTCCGAGAGGGGGATGTGTCAGGGTCACAAGACAATTGTGGGGAGAGGGTCAGCAGACAAACACGTGAACAAAGGTCTTTGCATCATAGACAAGGTAAAGGATTAAGTGCTGTGCTTTTAGATATGCATACACATAAACATCTCAATGCTTTACAAAGCAGTATTGCTGCCCGCATGTCCCACCTCCAGCCCTAAGGTGGTTTTTCCCTATCTCAGTAGATGGAATGTACAATCGGGTTTTATACCGAGACATTCCATTGCCCAGGGACGGGCAGGAGACAGATGCCTTCCTCTTGTCTCAACTGCAAGAGGCGTGCCTTCCTCTTGTACTAATCCTCCTCAGCACAGACCCTTTACGGGTGTCGGGCTGGGGGATGGTCAGGTCTTTCCCTTCCCACGAGGCCATATTTCAGACTATCACATGGGGAGAAACCTTGGACAATACCTGGCTTTCCTAGGCAGAGGTCCCTGCGGCCTTCCGCAGTGTTTGTGTCCCTGGGTACTTGAGATTAGGGAGTGGTGATGACTCCAAGCATCTGTTTAACAAAGCACATCTTGCACCGCCCTTAATCCATTTAACCCTGAGTTTGACACAGCACATGTTTCAGAGAGCACGGGGTTGGGGGTAAGGTCACAGACTCTCAAGGCAGAAGAATTTTTCTTAGTACATAACAAAATGGAGTCTCCCATGTCTATTTCTTTCTACACAGACACAGTGACAATCTGATCTCTCTTGCTTTTCCCCACATGAGCCTAGGCCTCAAACTGTTACATTGTCATGTTCACAGGTTTCTACTGCCCTGAGTGAATAAGGCCAGCAAAATCTAGGGTTTGGAAAACATCCTGGATCTTGATGGGAACAGCTTTAAAAGCACCTGGCAATGGGCATGGATACAGAAAAAACTAGAAATTGCTACCATTTTTGAAATCAGTGTCATTCTGCTTTTTTTTTTTTTATTTTGCATATGTGGTTTATAGAACTCTTTCACATCAAGAATCTTGTCCAAAGACACACAGCTACTAAGTGGCTGGGCTGAGACTCAGGATCAACTCTGTCAGACTCCAAAGCCCATCCACCTCCATAGATGACACTACTAAAGTAGCTGCCCTAGACCCTTGAAATCCTGGAGAGTGACACTTCTACGATAGAGGCCAGATTCCTTTTATTTTAGTTTTATTAATCTATTTAACTTCTTTTGAGATGGGGTCTCACTCTGTCACCCAGGCCGGAGTGCAGTAGTGTAATTTTGGCTCAGTGTAACATCCTCCTCCCATGTTCAATTAATTCTCCTGCCACAGCCTT
Source organism: Homo sapiens (assembly GCF_000001405.40). Lineage (NCBI taxonomy): Eukaryota > Metazoa > Chordata > Mammalia > Primates > Hominidae > Homo > Homo sapiens. The sequence continues at coordinate 17,661 of NW_003315965.1, forward strand.
TCAAGTAGCTGGGATTTCAGGTGCTTGCCATCACACCTGACTCATTTTTGTATTTTTAGTAAAGACAGGTTTCACCATGTTGGCCAGGCTGATCTCAAACTCCTGACCTCAAGTAATCTGCCTGCCTCGGCCTCCCAGGGTTCTGGGATTACTAGCGTGAGCCACTGCAGCCAGCCTACATTCCTTTTACATTTGTGCCAATATAGTACTGTTTATCATTGGGAATAATCCTGTCAAGAATTTGCAGAAGTGCACAGTGGCTCACACCTGTAATCCTAGCATTTTGGGAGGCTGACATGGGAGAATAACGTGAGCTCGAGTTCAAGTTCAGCCAACATAGTAAGAATCTGTCTTCATGAATAAAAATTTAAAAATTAGCCAGACATGGTGGTGCATGCCTGTAACCCCAGCTACTCAGGTGGCAGATGCAGAAGCAGAAGGATCACTTCAGCCTGGAAGGTCAAGCTGCAGTGAGCCATGTTTGGATACACCACTGCACTCCAGCCTGGGTGATAGAGTAAGACCTTGTCTCAGAAAAAAAGAAAGAAAAAGAAAGAAAGAAATTGCAGAAGGATTTTAAAAAGACAAAGAATACTTTATATTTGTAGGTGATGGATAAGTTTAGAAAATCAAATGCCAACAACAGATTATTTATTTTTCATCATAGAATAAAATGGAAAACTTTTAAAATGAAAATACTGTAGAAAAATTAAATTTAAAGAGTTTAAATGGGCAAAGAATGATTTGCAAATTGGGCAGCCTGTGGAGCCAGAGTAGGCTCAGAGAGACTGCAGCATAGCCACATGGTGGAAAAAGATTTATGGACAGAAAAAGCAAAGTGACATACAGAAAATGGGGGTGAGATACAGAAACAGCCAGATTGATTACAGCTCGAGATTTGCCTTACTCGAACATGGTTTAAACAGCTGATGTCCTTTTATTGCCAAAAACACAGTAGTTGGTACAAGAGTGGGTTACAGTCTATTTACATATCAAGTTAGGTTTCAGTTTGCTATGTACAGAGAACCTATTGACAAAAATTAAACAGAAAAGAAGGCAGCTTTAGGCTATAATTGATTTAATAATTTCTCCTTTTTGGTCATCTTCCCAATTTTGAGAGACAGACCCAAACTTTAGACATTGATAGCATCAGTTACCATCAAAAGTATACTTATTTAGTCTCAAATCCCACTGTGAAATAGCAGAACTGTGGGTTTTGTAAAGTAAAAACAAGGACTTCAGGTTATTATTTTTAAAAAGAATTACAGTAGAAAGGAACTCCTTGTGTTAAAATCTGCTGTTTACAGAAGAAAACAAAACCCGAACTGCTTTAGGATCACCTATTTCCTTACATTTTTAGTTTATATCACATTTAGCATGAGTGACTCCACAGAATAATGGATTTTTAAAAAATTATCAGATAATTTCCTCATGCTTTTTTCCAGATGATTTTATTCTCTACCAGAGGTGTTTTTCTTTTTAATCATTGGTTCATTTTGCTTGACATCATACAATACGTATTATTTTATTTCAAGCTTGTCTTATCTGGCAGGTTTATGAGATATATCCAGGTTGTGTGATTTAGTAGTTCATTTTTTTCTATGGCTGGGTGGTATTCTCTTGTATGAATGAGATATAATTTGTTCATCTATATTTCTAGCGATGGATATTTAGGCTGTTCCCTGCTTTAAGCTATTATGACTAAAAGCTCTATAAACATTCTTGTACAAATACTTTTTGGTATATAATTAAATTCCTTTAATAGCATTTAAGTGACACCTCCTTACATTTCTTAGTGGTTTCTCCAGGGATAACTATATGCATTTGTAACATATCACAATCTACCTAGAGTTTATACTGTACTATTTTAATAAATGTAAAATATGAAAACCTTGCTGTTGAAGAGTTACAATTACTTCCTTCTATTGTTTGTGCTATTCATATATTTTACATCTACACATATATCTCACAATACTGTGTTATAATTTTTCCTTAGTCATAAGTCTTATAAAGAAATTGAGAGGAAATAGTATTTATAAATATTTGGAGGTAGATACTTTGGGGCTATTACTTTGGGGCTATTTATAAATATTTGAGGCAGATACTTTGGGGCTAACAGAAACACTGTTTCTCCTTTAAATTTTATCCACAATGTTTGCATTTTTAAGTACATCTTGTCTACAGTAATTATTACTGTGGTGTCTTAGTGGTGATTTTCTATTTTGCATTATCTTCTACATTGATTAGTATACTTGGAATTTTCTAAAGAAAATTTTTTTCTTTTTTCTACTGCTTTCTTTCTTTCTTTCTTTCTTTCTTTCTTTCTTTCTTTCTTTCTTTCTTTCTCTTTCTCTTTCTCTCTTTCTCTTTTTGAGATGGAATTTCATTCTTGTTGTCCAGGCTGGAGTTTAATGTCGTGATCTCAGCTCACTGCAACCTCCACCTCCCAGGTTCAAATGATTCTCCTGCCTCAGACTCCCAAGTAGGTGGGATTACAGGCATACACCACCACGCCCGGCTAATTTTGCATTTTTGGTAGAGACGGGGTTTATTCAAGTTGGTCAGGCTGGTCTTGAACTCCCAACCTCAGGTGATCCACCCTCCTTAGCCTCCCAAAGTGCTGAGATTACAGGCATGAACCACGGCGACTGGCCTTCTTTTTTTCTTATTTGTATTTTTCTCTATCTTTATGGATTCATGGATTTTTTTTTAATTCTCTGGGTGTTAATCCAATGCTAATAATGTTTATTGTGTTTTTCACATTTTTCCAGCTTGGGCTCCTGGGAAGTCTTTCAGGTTGACTTTCTCTGACATGGCTGCTTCTGTTGTTCATAAAGCACTTTAAACTTTTTAGCTTAACAATACTCTACCTTAACTTGGATTTTCCACTCCAGTGCTAGAATTGTCTATTATTACAAGTAGTCTTGCTTTTTTTGTTGAAGAATAGTACTTAGAAACCATGATATGAGAGCTAGGTGTGCCCATTAATATTGGGGTGTCACTGCTTCTGCAACCTCTCAGCAAACAGAGTTTGGAAAGGTACATATTAATATTGACTCCTGTATGAACACATCTCTCTCTTTCTGTCTCTCTCAATAGATATGTTATGATACATGCATTTATCAAAATATTCTCAACTCCATTCTAGAATTCTCTTTTTTTTCAACTTCAGAGAGATGCAGGCACTAATTATATTTATTTATGTATATATATATATATATATATACATACTAACATATAGAGTGCTTTTAAAAATTGCTAGTCTATATGCTTATAGACAAGCAATACATACCAGAACACAATGTTTGTGTTCAGTTCTTGAGTCTTGCAGTATTTAATCAAAATAGTGTTATTCAAAGTGATTTACACCAAGTCCTTTCATTCCAACCTTCTTCAATAGGGTTAGGTGATACATTTCTAGTAAGGGTGAACTCTTCTTTTTACTCCCTGCATTTTATCTGAATTTTCCCCCAATCCTTGTTTTTTCTAATTTTCAGAGAGGAAAATTTATTCTTTGTGATGTACAGTTCCATAGGTTTTGAAAACTGTCTAGAGTCACATAGCCATCTTCACAGTACCACACAGAACTGTTTCATTGCCCCCAAAATTATCCGATGCCTCCTATTTGTAGTTAAGTCTACCCTCATCTATTCTTTGGCAATCAGTGATTATTCTCTTTTTATTCTTCTTCTTTTGTAGGAAGGTCTTTCTATGTTGCCCAGTCTGTTCTCAAAATCCTGGGCTCAAACAGTCCTCTCACCTCAGCCTCCCAAAGTGCTGAGATTATACACTTGAGCCATCAAGCCTGGACTGATTATTATCAATCCTTATAATTTTATTTTTCTACAATGCCATATACTTGGATTATATAATCTGTAAACTGGATTTTACTTTCTTCAATTAAAGAAATGCATTTGTGACTCATCTATACTGTGATGTCGATCAATAGTTTTTTTTTTTATTGACAACTAGGATTCTATTGTAGGTATGCACTGGTTTGTTTATTCATTCACCTGTTGAAAAGCATCTAGTTTACATCTAGCTTTTTGCAATTACAAATAAAGTGAGCAATAGACATCCATAAAAAGTTTCATTTCAGCATTAGTTTTCAGTTTACTTTAGTAATGACCTAGCAGTGGGATGTCTTGGTAACATAATAAGTGTATACTCAACTTTATAATAAGCCACTAAACTATTTTCCAAAGCTACTCTACCATTTCATATTTCTAGATCTATTTAATCCAAATTTTCATTGACGGTCTTTGAAATTTTTCTTTTCATGATTGCCATTATCATAATTGTGTGCTATCTCATTGTTATTCATGCTTTATTTTTTTCCATTTCTGTTGGGAAACCTGAATTTTATAATCAATGCAGAAAGAAATGTATAAAATGCTTAGGGATTAGCCTTGGATTCTGGAAACTGACTTCCAGAAATCTGCTATGCAATTAGAGCTTTACAAACATTAAAAAAAAATTATAGTTTATTCTCTGTGGTTTTCTTTTTCTTTCTTTCTTTCTTTTCTTTTTTTCTGAGACAAGGTGTTGCTCTGCTGCCCAGGCTGGAGTCCTATGGCACAATCTCCACTCGCTGCAACATCTGCCTTTCGAGTTCAAGCGATTCTCATGCCTCAGCCTACCGAGAACCTGGTGTTACAGGCAAATGCCACCATGCCCAGCTAATTTTTGTATTTTTAGCAGAAACAGGGTTTTGTCATGTTGGCCAGGCTGGTCTCAAACTCCTAACCTCAAGTAATCCACCTACCTTGGCCTTCTTTTTCTTTCTTTCTTTTAAGAAAGATTCTCTCTCAGCCAGGCAGGAATGCAGTGGCATGACTGCAGCTCACTGCAGCCTCAACCATCTGGGCTCAAGCAGTTTTCTCATCTCAGCCTTCTGAGTATCTGGGACCCCACTCATGTGCTACCATGCTCAGCTAATTTATTACTGTTATTTTTAGAGGTGAGGTCACACTATGTAGACCAGGCTGGTCTCGAACTCCTGAGCTAAAGTAATCCTCCCACCTTAGCCTCCCAAAATGCTGGAATTACAGGCAGGTGCCATCACATCCACATTGATGTTTTATTTTGTATATCAAAATATGAAAAATAGCATTGATGTCCATAAATAGACTCCAAGAAAATGTTATACATATTAAAAAAGTAATTTCCAAAGCAAATACTAAAATTGAAAGCAATTGAAATAAATAAAAATGACTAAATAAGATATAGATAATATGACCAGAAAGAGAGAAGGTTAGTTTTTCTGACTTTATTTTTTTCCAGCATCATTTATTAAATAGGGAATATTTTCCCCATTGCTTGTTTCTATCAGGTTTGTCAAATACCACATGGTTGTAGACGTGTGGTCTTATTTCTGAGGTCTCTATTTTGTTTCACTGGTCAATGTGTCTGTTTTTCTTTTTACCAGTACCATGCTGCTTTGGTTACTATAGCCTTGTTGTATAGTTTGAAGTCAAGTAGCATGATGCCTCTAGCGTTGTTCTTTTCACTTAGAATTTTCTTGGCTATACAGGCTCTTTTTTGGTTCCACATGAATATTAAAGTAGTTTTTCCTAGTTCTGTGAAGAACATCAGTGGTAGTTTGATGGGAATAGCACTGAATGTATAAATTACTTTGGGAAGTACAGCCATTTTCATAATATTGCTTCTTCCTATCCATGAGGATGAAATTTTTTCCATTTGTTTTTGTCCTCTCTTATTTCTTTGAGCAGTAGTTTGTAGTCCTTTTTGAAGAGGTCCTTCACATCCCTTGTTAGCTGTATTCCTAGGTATTTTATTTTCTTTGTAGCAATTGTGAATGGGAGTTCATGCATGATTTCACAATCTGCTTGTTTATTGTTGGTACTTGTGATTTTTCCACATTGATTTTGTATCTAGAGACTTTGCTGAAGTTGCTTATTAGCTTAAGGAGCTTTTGGGCTGAGACAATGGGATTTTCTAGATATAGCATCATGTCATCTGCAGAGACAATGTGACTTCCTCTCTTCCTATTTGAATACCCTTTATTTCTTTCTTTGACCTGATTTTTCTGGTCAGAACTTAAAATACTACGTTGAATAGGAGTGGTGAGAGAGGGCATTTTGTCTAGTGCTGATTTTCCAGAATTCTTCCAGGTTTTGCCCATTCAGTATGATATTGGCTGCGGGTTTGTCATAAATAGCTCTTATTATTTTGAGGTATGATTTTTCAATACTTAGTTTATTGAGAGTTGTTAACATGAAGGGATGTTGAATTTTGTTTGTTTGTTTGAGACAGAGTCTCACTCTGTTACCCAGGCTGGAATGCAGTGGCATGGTCTCAACCCACTGCAACCTCTGCTTTTTGGGTTCAAGGGATTCTCTTGCATCAGCCTCAGAGTAGCCTCCAGAGTAGCTGGGATTACAGGCCCCCACCGCCATGCCTGGCTAATTTTTGTATTTTTAGTAGAGATGGGGTTTCACCATGTTGATCAGACTGGTCTCAAACTCCTGACCTCGTGATCCACCTGCCCCAGCCTCCCAAAGTGCTGGGATTACGGGATTACAGGTGTGAGCCACCGCGCCCAGCCAAGGAATGTTAAATTTTATTGAAGACTTTATTATTAGTATTATTATTTTATTTTTTTGAGAGGGAGTCTTGCTCTGTCACCCAGGCTAAAGTGCAGTGGCACAATCTCAGCTCACCACAACCTCCACCTCCTGGGTTCAAGTGATTCTCCTGCCTCAGCCTCCCAAGTAACCAGGATTACAGGTGCACACCACCACCCCTGGCTAATGTTTGTATTCTCAGTAGAGATGGGGTTTCACCATATTGGTCAGGCTGGTCTCGAACTCCTGACCTCATGATCCACCCATTTCGGCTTCCCAAATTGCTAGGATTACAGACGTGAGCCATCATGCCCAGCCCTTACTGAAGACTTTTACTGCATCTATTGAGATAATCATGTGGTTTTTGTCATTGGTTCTGTTTATGTGATAGCTTACATTTATTGATTTGTGTATGTTAAATGAGTTTTGCATCCCAGTGATGAGGCCGACTAGTTTGTAGTGGATAAGCTTTTTGATGTGCTGCTGGATTTGGTTTGCCAGTATTTTATTGAGGATATTCACATCAATGTTCTTCAGAGATATTGGCCTGAAGTTTTCTTTTTTTGTTGTGTCTCTGCCAGGTTTTGGCATCAGGGTGATGCTGGCCTCATAAAACGAGAAGGGAGGAGAGTCTCTCCTTTTTAATTCTTTGGAATAGTTCCAGAAGAAATGGTACCAGTAATATAGCAGTTATTAGGAAATTATTTTAGTCACTTAGCAAGTGTAAAAATGTTCTCAGTGAAATTTTTCTTTAATAGAAATCAGCCAAAAACCATCTCTTTTCTAACATAAAGCAGCCTGAAAAGTCAAGCTACAAGCATAGATAAGCAAGCTAGAACCCTGCATAGATGAACGTGGGCAGCTGTACTGAAAGCCAGGTCCACCCAATATGGCAATTCCCCCTTCCTTTTCTTTGTCCCCTCGTGTGCAGTTGTCATGGATCCAGCCAGGTAGAGGCCACATTTGCATAATAAAAGATTGGGGTGGGAAGGCAAGTTTTTTTGCAGGTTATGTAAATGGTACACCCGGTCAAACCAATCTTTTGAACCCTATGTAAATCAATCACCCCCTCTTCAAGCCTCTTTTAAAAGTCAATTGCATCCTGGAAACCTTGGGTGCCCCACTTTCTCTGCATGAGAAAGCTCTCTCTCTCCCTCTCTTTCTTCTTTCTTTCATCTATTAAACTTTCTGCTCTTTAAACACACTCCAAGTGTGTGTGTCTGTGTCATTAACCTTCTCAGCATTAGATGATGAACCCTGGGTATTTACCCCAGACAACAATGCTGCTTCACCAGCTCCTTTTTTTACCTCTGGTAGAATTCAACCATTAGTCCATCTGGTTCTGGGCTTTTTGTGTGTGTTTTTTTGGTTGGTAGGCTATTTATTACTGCCTAAATTTCAGAACTTAGTTGGTCTTTTCAAGGATTTGACTTCTTCCTGGTTTAGTCTTGGGAGGGTTTATGTGTCCAGAAATTGATCCATTTCTTCTAGATTTTTTAGTTTATTTGCATAGAGGTGTTTATAGTATTCTCTGTTAGTAGTTTATACTTTTGTGGGGTCACTGGTGATATCCTATTTATCATTTTTTATTGGGTTTGATTCTTCTCTCTTTTATTCTTTATTAGTCTAGCTAGTGGTCTATGTATTTTATTAATTTCTTCAAAAGAGCCAGCTCCTGGGCCAGCCATGGTGGCTCATGCCTGTAATCCCAGCATTTTGAGAGGCAGATCAACTGAAGTCAGGAGTTCGAGACCAGCCTGCCCAACAGAGTGAAACCCCGTCTCTCCTAAAAATATAAAAATTAGCCAAGCTTGGTGGTGCATACCTGTAATCCCAGCTACTCAGGAGGCTGAGGCAGGAGAATCATTTGAACCCAGGAGGCCAAGGTTGCAGTGAGCCAAGATCTTGCCACTGCACTGCAGCCCGGGCAACAAGTGTGAGACTCCGTCTCAAAAAACAAAACAAAACAAAGCAAAACAAAACAAAACAAAACAAAAATCCAGCTCCTGAATTCATTGATCTTTTGAAGGTTTTTTGTGTCTCTATCTCCCTATCTTCCTCAGTTTTGCTCTGATCTTAGTCATTTCTTATCCTCTGCTAGCTTTTAAATTTATTTGCTTTTGCCTCTCTAGTTCTTTTAGTTGTAATGTTAGGGTGTTGATTTGAGATCTTTCTAGCTTTCTAATGTAAGCATTTAGTGCTATAAATTTCCCTCTTAACACTGCTGTAGCTGCATCCCAGAGATTCTGGTACATTGTTTTTTTGTTCTCATTGACTTTAAAGAACTTCGTGATTTCTGCCTTAATTTCATTATTTACCCAGAAGTCATTCAGAAGCAGGTTGTCCAATTCGCATGTAGTTGTGTAGTTTTGAGTGAGTTTCTTAATCTTGAGTTTTAATTTGATTGCACTGTGGTCTGAGAGACAGTATCATATAATTTGAGTCCTTTTACATTTTCTGAAGAGTGTTTTACTTCCAATTATACAATCAATTTTAGAGTAAGTTCCATGTGGCACTGAGAACAATGTATATTCTGTTGTTTTGGGGTGGAGAGTTCTGTAAATATCTATCAGGTCCACTTGATCCAGAGCTGTGTTTAAGTCCTGAATATTCTTATTAATTTTCTTTCTCATTGATCTAATATTGATAGTGGGGTGGTAATGTCTCCCTGTATTATTGTATGGAAGTCTAAGTCTCTTTGTAGGTCTCCAAGAACTTGTTTCATGAATCTGTGTGCACCTGTATTGAATGCCTATATATTTAGGATAGGTAGCTCTTCTTGTTGAATTGATTCCTTTATAATTATTAAGGGAAGAGACCACCCCTAATATTGTCTTATACCCAATTTCTGCCTCCAAAGAAAGAAGAAGTAAAAACTAAAAGGCAGAAATGAAATCTACAGGCAGACAGCCCAGCGCCGTGCCCTGGGCCTGGTTAAAGTATGACGCCTGACCTAACTGGTTATGTTATCTATAGATTCCAGACATTGTATGGAAAAGCATTGTGAAAATCCCTGTCTTGTTCTGTTCCATTCTGATTAATGGTGCATTCAGCCCCCAGTCACATACCCCCTGCTTGCTCAGTTGATCATGACCCTCTCACACTGAACCCCTTACAGTTGTAAGCCCTTAAAAGGACAGGAACTGCTCACTCGGGGAGCTTGGTTTTTGGAGACGTGAGTCTTGCTGAAGCTCCCAGCTGAATAAAGCCCTTCCTTCTTTAACTTGGTGTCTGAGGGGTTTTGTCTGTGGCTTGTCCTGCTACATTTCTTGGTTCCCTGACTGGGAAGCGAGGTGATTAATGGATGGACCGTTGAGGCAGCCCCTTAGGTGGCTTAGGCCTGCCCTGTGGAGCATCCCTATGGGGAACTCCGGCCAGCTTGAGTGACGTGGATCCTGAGAGTGCTCCTGGGTAGGCATTTGCCTCGGTGGAATGCCTTGTCAGAGTGGTGCAAGGCAGGCCCCCACGGAGGATCAATGCAGTGGCTGAACACTGGGAAGGAAATGGCACTTGGAGTCCAGACATCTGAAACTTGGTAAGACTGGTCTTTGTAACTTGCCTACTCCATTTGAGTGGAAGTGTGGCCTGATCACCCACAATGTGCCTGTACCAGCACTTTGGTTTTTGTTTTTGACTTGATTTGGATTGCTCGATACTTTGGTTTTGGTTTTGACCTGGCTTGGATTTCTTGATACTCTGATTTTGGTTTTGATTCTGGTTTGGTGTAAACTGTAAAAGTATGTGTGTGCCCTTTTAACCCGTTCTTTGTTTTGTGGTATGCATGTGGTGTGAGCATGGTGTCTTGTCTCAAGAAAGCATGGGTCAGGCACAAAGTAAGCCCACCCCACCAGGAACTATGTTGAAAAATTTCAAGAAAGGATCTAAGGGAGACTATGGAGTACTATGACAGCAGGAAAACTTAAAACTTTGTGTAAGATAGACTGGCATTAGAGGTGGGTTGACTATCAGAAGGAAGCCTGGACAGGTCCCGTGTTACAAAGGTATGGCACAAGGTAACCTGTAAGCCAGGACACCCAGACCAGTTCCTGTATATAGACACTTGGTTACAGCTGGTTTTAGACCCCCCCCCCACCCCACAGTGGTTGAGAGAACAGCAGCATAAGCAGCTTGCAGAGGCAAGGAAAGACCAGCAGAGAGAGAGAGAGGAAAGAGACAGAGAGAAAAAGAAGCAAAGAGAGAGAGGAAAAGACAGAGAGGAAGAGACAGAGAGACAAAGAGGGAGTCAAGAAGAGAGAGAGAGAAAGAGAGAGGCAGAGAGAGAGGAAGAGACAAAGGCAAAAGGAAAGCCAAAGAGAGAGAGAGACAGAAAGTCAAATATAATTGATAATTGAAGGTCTTCTCCATGACCCTACAACACTCCAATACCACCTTGTAAGTGTAAACAAGGGCGTAGTCCGAAAGCACTGAGGCCCCTGACAACCTGTAGCCTTCCTATCAAAAATCCTTAACCCAGTAACCCAAAGATGGCCCAAATGCATTCAATCTGTAGTGGCAACTGCTTTGCTCACAGAAGAAAGTAGAAAAATAATTTAGAGGAAACCTCATTGTGAGCACACCTCACCAGTTCAGAAGTATCCTGAGTTAAAAAAAAAAAAAAAAAAAGACTTAACATTAACCGCTGAAAATTCACTTAACCCAGCAGGTTTCCTAACAGGGGATCTAAATCTTAATTACCATACAAAGGTCCAACCAGACCTAGGAGGAACTCCCTTCAGGACAGGATGATAGATGTTTCCTACTGGGTAAATGAAAAAAAAAAAAAAAGCCATCTATACCAATTTTAAGTTAATTTGGACTAAACAAGGTCCTATTAATAGCAAAGGATAGTTGGAATCTCAAATTTACAAGGTTTTCAACAAAAGTAAAGTTTGCTAAAAGTTAATAGTGTAACATGTATTATAGTAACTTTTAATCTTGTGGCCTTAGACAGTCTGGTCCACAGACATAAAGCAAGTTTGCTTTTTGAAAAGAATGGTTGTCATCTTAAAAAAAAAAAAAAGGGAAAAAAAGGGGGGGCAGAATTTATGTAAAAAGAATGTTATATGGTAAATTATTGTCCTGAAACAAATTAACTGGTTGTTTAAAGAAAGAAATGTTTGTAATAAGTCAGAAAGTTGAGGCATGTCGAAGAATTATCTGCAAAAGTCGTGAAAGAGAAAAAAAGTTATAAAAAAGAAATTATGCAAGAAATGTTGTATATTTTAAAAGTAATTAGGCCTCCTGAGTACTATTGAAGAAACAGTTTATGTGCAAGGTGTATAAGGAAACTAAAATATACCTTTGGTAAAATGATTATAAGGAGGCATAAGAATGTAAATTTTTACCTACATTGAAAGGTTAAAAAAAATTTGTTTTGAAGGTTTAAGCAAGTTTTAAAATGTTAATTATAAAGAAAATTCTGTGTGTTAACATATTAGCTAAAGTTAAAGGGGTATCATCCAGTTTTTCTGTGAACTGGACATTAAAGTAAAAACACAACAGATTTTTCTTAAAGCACTAACCTGCTCTTCAAGAAAGATTATAAAAGGTTAAAAAGAGTCTATAAAAATCTTACCTTATGGTCTGACATTAAAAATTGAATAAACATGTCTACAAAGTTTTAATAAAACTAAGTTTAACATTAATAACACACTAATATAAAGGTGACATTTAGCTTATCTGGTATAAAAATCATACAGGAAGCATTGTCAACTATAAGATGGTGTTTGGCTTCTTTGGTCTAAAAACTAATGAAAATAGATGCTAAAGGAAATTTCTCAGTAAAAGGCACCAAGGACTGTAAAGTCCTCTGCTGACGGACTTTTAAAACAAAAAGGTCAATTTAAAAAAAAGGTCAGTTTCTTAAGAATCATATACTTGGTTTATCTTCCACTTTCCCTTCCCTCAAAACTAAAAGTCTTTTAGCACATGTACCACTCCAAGAATTTCCGGCAAACCAGCACCAGCCTGAAGATCACGTTCTTATCAAAGGGTGAAAAGAAAGGAAACTCGAGCCAGCCTAGGAAGGACCCTACTTTGTGCTGTTAACCACCAAGACTGCTGTTTGTACAGTGAAAAAATGATGGACTCATCACACCCGAGTCAAGAAAGCACCACCCCCTCCAGAGTCATGGGCCATAGTCCCAGCGGAAAACTCTACCAAACTAAAGCTGAGAAAAATTTAACTCTTTCATCTATTCTATTACTCTTTCTTTTTTCCTTGCTCTATTGCTGACCTTCTAGGGTTATTAACATAACCAAGTCAATTTCGCCTCAAGCCATTGCCTTTAATGCTTGCGTTGTTATACCCTGTGGGGAATTGCCAAGTCAAAGACAGCTCTCTACTTCAGAAAAGTACCTCTGTCCCTCCTGACTCTCCTCAGACTGGGCATTAGTAAATTAGGACCATTTAATCTGGGGAAATTTTGATAAAGACTCCAATGTCAACCAGGATTCTTGGCCCCCAATGTAGAGCTTTTATGCCATAGCTGGTCCAACTTTCTGTGGACCACTAAAGAGCAAGGATGGACTGCCCCAACCAGTTTTTGTAATTTCCTAAAATCATACATTCATTTTACTAGAGGATCATAGAAGTTAAAGACTTAAAACAAACTTTGGCAATTAAGACAGGATACCAAGATGCAAATGCCTGGTTGGAATGGATCAAATATTCCATCCACACATTAAACAAAGACAATTGTTATGCTTGAGCACATGGCAGGCCAGAGGCCCTGATTGTCCCCTTTCCACTAAGGTGGTCCTCCAGTTGCCCAGGCATGGGCTGTATGGTAGCTGTTTTCCAGCATTCTATAGCCTGGAGTAATAAGTCATGCCAAGCTCTCTCTGCTATATCCCTAAGTCTGGCACCCTGTGGATCTGCCCCCAAGGGCCATCCAGCTTCCATCTCCCAACACTAAGTTCACTTTGCATCTCTCATGATAGGGAGGAAACTTAGCATTCCTTGGAAACCTGAAGGGATGTACTGAGCTTAAGAATTTTCAAGAGCTTATCAATCAGTCAGCCCTTTGTTCATCCTGGCATGGATGTGTGGTGGTATTGTGATGGACCTTTACTGGGCACTCTGCCAAATAACTGGAGTGGAATTTGTACTTTAGTCCAATTGGCTATCCCTTTCACCCTGGCATTTCATCAACAAGAGGGAGGAAAAATAAGACACCATAAAGTGAGAGAAGCCCCTTATGGGTCTTTCGACTCTCACATCTATTTAGATGTAATTGGAGTCCCATGGGGAATACCAGATCAATTTAAAGCTTGAAATCAAATAGCTGCAGGATTTGAGACAATATTTTGGTGGACGACACTTAATAAAAATGTAGATTGGATAAACTACTTCTATTATAACCAACAGCAATGAGCTTTTCATGAGTTAAAAGAAAAACTGATGTTGGCCCCAGCCCTGGGGATACCTGACTTGACAAAACCCTTTACACTCTATGTGTCAGAAAGAGAAATAATGGCAGTTGGAGTTTCAACCCAGGCTGTGGGGCCCTGGCCAAGGCCAGTGGCCTATCTCTCAAAACAACTAGATGGGGTTTCCAAAGGCTGGCCTCCATGTCTAAGGGCTCTGGCAGCAACCCCACATATTGTCTTTTGCCCAATTTCTGCCTCCAAAGAAAGAAGAAGTAAAAACTAAAGGCAGAAATGAAATCCACAGGCAGACAGCCTGGTGTCTCACCCTGGGCCTGGTTAAAGATTGACCCCTAACCTAATTGGTTATGTTATGTATAGATTCCAGACATTGTATGGAAAAGCATTGTGAAAATCCCTGTCCTGTTCTGTTCCATTCTGATTACCAGTGCATGCAGTCCCCAGTCACGTACCCCCTGCTTGCTCAATTGATCATGACCCTCTCATATGGACCCCCTTAGAGTTGTAAGCCCTTAAAAGAGACAGGAATTGCTCACTGGGGGAGCTCGGTTTTTGGAGACATGAGTCTTGCTGAAGCTCCCGGCCGAATAAAGCCCTTCCTTCTTTAACTCGGTGTCTGAGGGGTTTTGTCTGCAGTTTGTCTTGCTACCTTATGTAATGCCCTTCTTTGCTTTTTTTGATCTTTGTTGGTTTAAAGCCTGTTTTGTAGGAAACTAGAATTGCCACCCCTGCTTTTTTCTGCTTCCCATTTGCTTAGTAAATTTTCCTTTTTTTTTTTTTTTTTTTATTTTGGGCATATGTGTGTCTTTGCATGTGAAACGAGTCTCTTGAATACAGCACACCAATAAATCTTTAATCTTCATCCAATTGGCCAGTCTATATCTTTTAATTGGTCCATTTAACCCATTTATGTTTAACGCTAATATTGTTATGTGTGAAGTTGATCCCATCATCATGATGCTAGCTGGTTATTTTGCACACTAGTTGATGCAGATTGTTCACAGTGTCATTGATCTTTGTATTTCAGTGTGTCTTTGCAGTGGCTGTTATGGGTGTTTGTTTGTTTGTTTGTTTTTTTCCATATTTAATGCTTCTTTCAGGAGTTCTAGCAAGGCAGGCCTTGTGGTGATGAATTCTTTCAGCATTTACTTGTCTGAAAAGGATTTTATTACTCCTTTGCTTATGAAGCTTAGTTTGCCTGGATATAAATTCTGGGTTGAAAATTAGTTTATTCCAGAATGTTAAATATTGGCCCCCCACTCTCTTCTGCTTGTAGAGTTTCTGCTGAGAGATCTGCTTTTAGTCTGATAGACTTCCCTTTGTAGATGACCTGACTTTTCTCTCTGGCTGGCCTTAGCATTTCTTCCTTCATTTCGACCCTGGAGAATCTGATGATTATATGTCTTGGGGTTGATCTTCTCATGAAGTATCATACTGAGGTTCTCTGTATTTTCTAAATTTGAATGTTGGTCTGTCTTTCTAGGTTGGGGAATTTCTCCTGGATGATCTCCTGAAGTGTGTTTTCCAGCTTGGTTTCATTCTCCCCATCTCTTTTGGGAACTCCAATCAGTCATAGGTTTGGTCTTTTTACATAGTCCCATAGTTCTCAAAGGTTTTGTTCATTCCTTTTTATTCTTTTTTCTCTCATCTTGTCTGCCTGCCTTATTTCAGCAAGATAGTCTTCAAGCTCTGATATTCTTTCTTCTGCTTGATAGCTTTGGCTACTGATACCTGTGTATACTTTACAAAGTTCTTGTGCTGTGTTTTCAGCTCCATCAGATCATTTATGTTTCTCTCTAAACTGGTTATTCCAGTTAGCAACTCATGTAATCTTTTATCATGGTTCTTATCTTCTTTGCATTGAGTGAGGACATGCATCTTTACCTCCTTGAAGTTTGTTATTACCCACTTTCTGAAGCCTACTTCTGTCAATTCATCAGTCTTTTCTCTGTTCAGATCTGTGCCCTTGCTGGAGAGGTGTTGTGATCATTTAGAGAGGAAGCACTCTGGTCTTTTGTGTGTTCAGCAATGTTGTGTTGATTCTTTCTTATCTTCATGAGTTTGTCCAGTTTTGATCTTTGAGGCTGCTGACTCTTAGCTGAAGTTTTTGTGGGGACTTTTTTTTTTTTCAAGATGGAGTCTTGCTCTGTCACCCCCGCTGGTGTGCAGTGGCATGATCTCAGCTCACTGCAACCTCCACCTCCTGGCTTCAAGCAATTCTACTGCCTCAGCCTCCCGAGTAGCTGGGATTACAGGTGCCCAGCATGGCACCTGGCTAATTTTTGTATTTTTAGTAGAGACGGGGTTTCACTATCTTGGCCAGGCTGGTCTGAAACTCCTGACCTCATGATCCACCTGCCTCAGCCTCCCAAAGTGCTGGGATTACAGTTGTGAGCCACCATGCCCGGCCATTGTAGGAACTTTTTTTGTTGACATTGTTGCTGTAGCCTTTTATTTGTTTTTCTTTCAATAGGCATGTTCCTCTTCTGTAAGGCTACAGTGGTTTGCTGGGGGTTCACTTCAGGCCTATTTATCTGGGTCACTCCTGCACCTGGAGATGCCCACAGAGAAAGCTGGAGAACAGCAAAGATGGGTGCCTCCTCCTTCCTCTGGGATTTCTGACTCCAAGGGACAGTGACCTAATGTCAGGAGGAATGCTTCTGTATAAAGTGTCTGGAGACCCCTATTGGGGGTCTCACACAGTTGAGGGCATGGGAACCAGGAACCATTTAAGGAAGCATTTTGGCTGTCCCTTGGTGGAGGGGGTGTGCTGTGGTGGAGGGAAACTGACTCATCTGGGCTGCCTGAATTTTGCAGAGCTAGCAAGAGGAAAGACTAAGTCTGCTGGTCCATGGAGACTATGGCAACCTCTCCCCCTAGGGGGTCAGGCCCAGGAAGATCAAGGTTTTGTCCCTGAGCTCCCAGCTGGAGTTGTTGGAGTTTCTGCAGGGAGGCCCCACTCAGTGAGAAGGGATGGATGAAGGTCTGGCCTAAAGAGAGAGTCAGGCCATTGTCTGCAACAGCTGGTGTGCTGTGCTGTGGGGAATGCCTCTTGGGACCAAGCGGTCTAACCTCCTTGGCTCCAACAGGGGAATAGCATGGCCTGGAGCTACAGTGATGACTGCCACCCTCCCCTGCACCCCAGGGGCTTAGTGTCATTGGTAGCTAGCAGCTGCAGTGATGGCTGCTGCCCCTCCCCAAGGGAGTTCAGATGACTTAGACAACAGGCAGCCACATTATGTAGCCCAGTCTGGTCTCAAACTCCTGGACTTAAGTAATCCTCCCACCTCAGCCTCCCAAAATGCTGGAATTACAGGCATGAGCCATCACATCCACACTGAGGTTTTATTTTTAATATCAAAATATAAAACAGCACGGACGTTCATTAATAGAATCCAAGGGAATATTATGCCAGTTAAAAAAGTAATTTCAAAAGCAAATACGAAAATTGAAAGCAAATTAAAATAAATAAAAATAACTAAATATTATATAGATAATATAACCAGAAAGAGAAACATTTAGTGCAGTAGCCAGGCACAGTGGCTCACGCCTGTAATCCCAGCACTTTGGGAGGCCGAGGAGGGCAGATTACAAGGGCAGGAGCTCGAGACCAGCCTGGCCAACACAGTGAAGCCCCATCTCTACTAAAAATACAAAAATTAGCTGGGCGTGGTGGCAGGCGCTTGTAAACCCAGCTATTTCGGAGGCTGAGGCAGGAGAATTGCTTGAACCCAGGAGGCGGAGGTTGCAGTGAGCCGAGATCGCACCATTGCACTCCAGCCTGGGTAACAGAGCTAGACTCTGTCTTGGAAAAAAAAAATATAATAATAATAAAGTGCAGTATACTAATGGGATATTTTTAGTGGGGAAGATTCTATTTCCATAAGAAATTCAAAATGAGATAATTTCCAGATTTTAGAAACTGATGCAAAACATATAAATATAGAAAGCCTCTAAGGTGATCCCATGATGTAGTATTACTTCAAATAAAAACTGGGCAAACTCAGCAAAAGGAAAGTTAAAGTTAATCTCAAGTGTCAGAATAGATACAGAAGTTCTAATAATATAATATTAAATGGAATCCAGAATTTTATTAAAAATATGTTATTTATGTATTGTATTATTAAAATGTAAATGTAATTAAAAATAGAAAATCTTTTGTTTTATTTAATTCCATAAAAGGTTAAAATGTGACCATTCTCTGTGATTTTGAAAGCAGCATTGTCTCAACAGATGTGTATTTGCATCTACATTTATCTACACATACATTTATATACTATCTGTCTACGTATTCTCCATCCATCCATTCATAGAATGTATAAAAAGGATGAATCTAAAATAGAGTGATTAAAAATAGAGTGATTAACAAAAGCATTTGAAATGTATTATCAGTTTATTACAGTGTCCAGATATTTATATGTTCAAATACAAAATATAAAATATTTTTATATATTCACACACAAAAACATAAAATATATTTATATGTTCATACACAAAATATAAAATAAGTTTATCTTATCAACTCTTCCAGATAAGTTAATAAAATATTTTAAAACTATGCAGCTATGGTTATTAGCTGAAAATAGGAAATAATATATTTATTTGTACAACTAATAGAAATGCTATTTCAACTGAATATAAAATACAAAAATATCACTGAAAAAGGCAAATAATGTACATTATCTAAAAAATAAACAACTCTGTGTAATGTACATTATCTAAAAAATAAACAACTCTGTGCTACAAGAGTTATGCAGCACACAGGAATCATATATAAATATCAATTAATTATATGTATTTTTTTTTTTGAGATGGAGTCTCGCTCAGTTGCCCAGGCCGGAGTGCAGTGGTGCTATTTCAACTCACTGCAAGCTCCGCCTCCCGGGTTCACACCATTCTCCTACCTCAGCCTCCGGAGTAGCTGGGACTACAGGTGTCCGCCACCATGCCCAGCTATTTTTTATTTTTATTTTTAGTAGAGACGGGGTTTCACTGTGTTAGCCAGGATGGTCTCGATCTCCTGACCTTGTGATCCTGCCCACCTCGGCCTCCCAAAGTGCTGGGATTACAGGTGTGAGCCACCACGCCCAGCCAACTATTTACATGTATTTTTTGAGACAGGATCTCACTCTATCACTTAGGCTGGAGTGCTGTGGTTTGATGGTGGCATGAGCAACCACATCTTACCTAGCTATAGACATTTTAAATAATTTCAGTGTGAAATACTAAACATAATTCAAAATGTATTTTCCTTATATGCAATGAGGTAAACAGAGTTTCAAGATCCAAATGATGAGTGAAAAAGAATTCCAACAACCTGCGGCATGATAATGCAAACAGCTCACATGTGTGCCGCACTCTCACTGTGCCAGCCTGTGTTTAGAAGCATTTTAGATACTTTTGCGCATTAAATTCTCATCAGAAATAACTCAGGTAAGTTTAATTAATCTCCATGTCACAGACAAGGTGACTGAAAGGAAAAAAGTTCAGGACTTATCCAAGGTCACCCAGACAGGAAATGGGTGAGCTAAGGTGTGCTCTGACCTACTCCTGCTTCCCTGGCATAGACAGAGCCATTGTTCATTGATTAAACAACTGCTCATTGAGCACCTCCCACGGGCCGAGCACTGTGCTTGGCACTGGGAACACAGTGGTGAACTAGACACAGCTGCCAGGAACAAACACTAAAGAAGTAAACAACAAACAGCAAGATTATTGCAGAAAATGTCAAGTTACCAAGACATGCTGCTGCTGTAAAAGATGGGCGTGCACAGGCCTACCGGGAGTGGGTTCTAGTTGGAAGGACGAGGGTGGAGCAAACCTCCCCAGGAAGAGTCAGAGCTGAGCCTAGACTGGAGGCTCCTGTCAGTGTGAGGATGTGGTTAGAGTCTGTCTCAGTTTCTTTCTATGCAGCCCCTAAAATCTTTGGAATGTCTGAAATGAGAAGTGTCTATTGCATGTAGGCACTGGTCCTCACATACATTAGAGAACAGAACTCTTGCTGTGCCCACAGCCAGGGAAAGGCGGGCAATGTCTATCTACCTCGTGGGTCCTAGAGCACCTTGTCCTGCCAGGACACTCACCGTCACCCTCACCCCCATAAGGTACAGATGGCAACCAGGGTGCCGCATACCACCCACTGGTGCACCCCAAAGGATGCTGAGTCCTGTAGGGGCCGTGGGCCTGAATAGTGTTTCCTAGTCACAGAGTCTTTCTGATTTTTTTCACTCACTAGCCCTGTGCCTCCGTTTCCCTCATTGTGGCACAAAGTCAACATCCCATTCTGCAGGCTAGGTGACCCAGAGATGTCACCACAGCCCATTAAATGACTATAGCATGTGAAAGTGGGAAGTGAGAGTCCCTCCCTGCTCTGGGTCTTTTGCCCCAGGACAGATGTTTATCAGGCCAGCTGCCTGGGGAGGGCCACATCTCCTGCTTTGGGAGCATTGTTTCCAAATTGAAGTCACTACGGTTAAGGACTCCCAATGCATTGGGGGAGGCACAGGGGTGGGATGGGGTAGAACAACACCGCATCACAAGAGCCTTGGATCCACCCCGGAGAGCGAGAATCAATTTCAGACTCCTGTCTGAAGCTGACCACCCTGAGGAATTAGGATTTGGGGATAAGACAAAGTCCTTGGTTCAGAAAACAAGATCTTCTGGTTCTGGACTCTGTAGCTGTCCTGGGTAGGGGACTTGTTTCCAACTATGTGCTTTAATTGAACCTAAGGGGATGGGGCACCCATAAGGGACTCTGAAGCCAAGGGTGAGTCCTACCTTCTGCCTCCCAAACTCTCTCTCCAATAGTAGATATTGGGCGGCAAAATGTCTTTACCAAGAAAAAAAAAATATCCAGAGACCAGGCAGGCTAATAAATGCTTACCAGGATTATCTGGCCTAATCATCACAACAGTCATATTCGTCCTCTGGGACAGGTGAGGAAACTGAGGTTGGAGGAGGACACCGAGAGCCTGGTCGGGCCACTGGCAGCCTGGAGCCCCAGAGGCCCAGGCATTCACCACCCTCCAACCCCCTCTCTCCCTCCCGGCCCCAGGAGTCTTCATTCCCAGCTCATTCACTTGTCAATCACTCAGACTCGCTGGGCCTCCAGCAGGGCCGCCCCTTCTCCGCCCGCTTGTCCCTCCCCACCCGCAGCTCTTCCGTCCCGCGCGGCTCGTTGGCCTGGGCTCCAAGGCGGGGCCGCCCACGAAAGCCACTGGCAGGGACGGCTCCGAGTCCGAGCCCCCGACACCCCCGCCCCGCCCGCCCCGCCCGCCCCGCCCGCACCCGCTCGGTCCCTTGGGCTGGGGGCCCAGGCAGGGCGGGCGCGACCCAAGGCCACCGCGCACGGCCTGAGCCGAAATCCCAACCCCAGATCGCAGGAACCCCCGCCTTCCAGGCACCAGGATGGGCCCTCCTGGCGGGTGGTTGGGGACCCGGGTGTGTATCTGTGGGAATAATTGGTCAAAAGTGGCTTTTTGTTTTCCCAAAGGTAAAGCCTCCTTCGTAATTACGTATTTTCTTCTTACTTAAAACGGAATCTCATTATTTAGATATACCCATGATTGTGTCAGTGAATTTGAGTATACTTTTTAAAGTTTTTCTCAGTTTAGTCCTTATGTTTGTTTCTATTTTAAGAATTTTAAATTCTACCTAAAATTAGTAAAGTGAACCCCAAAGTATCTGAGACAGGTCTCAATTTAGAAAGTTTATTTTGCCAAGATTAAAGACACACCCGTGACACCGCCTCACGAGGTCGTGACAACGCGGGCCTAAGGTGGTTGGGTCACAGCTTGATTTTATACATTTTAGGAGTCAGGAGACATTAATCGATATATGGAAGGTGTACATTGTCCAGGAAAGTGGGAGAACTCGAAGCAGGGCGGGAGCTGCCAGGTCATAGGTAGATAAAGGACTAATGGTTGCAATTTTTCTGAGATTCTGATTAGCCTTTTACTGGGGTATTTCCAGGTCTGTCTTTCCTAAACTTGCCCAAGAGAAAGTTGACACCAAGTTTGTATAATTTTAATCTATTTTTGCCAATTTTTTGTCTATTTCATAACATACAACAACGGGTAATTTAACCAAAACCCTTATGGTTTTCTAGCACAATTATAAGCTACACATGTATTCTTAGCAAGGTAAAAGCAATAGAAACAATGATGATAAAATAACAACTTTTCGTGCATGAATAGCCCTTCAGCTGGTGACTTCACAGAGCCCACTGTTGAGGTTCCGAATCCTACACCCAAAGGTGGTCAAAAGATGGAAAATTGACTTGCACACATGGATCTGGTTTACAGGCTGGTTGTTGACTCTCACACCATGACTCAGCAAACCTGTAAGGCTGTGACTTTACTAAGAAGACAAAGTTTGCAGGAAGAATAGAGGCTTTGATGCAGTCTACTGTTGAGATTGTGACTCATGTACTTAGACTCAACATTCAGGAGGTGTTGACCCTCATACCTAGAACTGGGACATGTGTGGAATTATTATTATCATTATTTTCTTTCTTTTTTTGAGATGGACTGTTGCTCTGTCACCCACGTTGGAGTGCAGTGGCATGATCTCGGCTCACTGCAACCTCCACCTCCTAGGTTCAAGCGTTTCTTCTTTCTCAGCCTCCTGAGCAGCTGGGATTACAGGCATGTGCCACAATGCCCGGCTAATTTTTGTGTTTTTAGTAGAGACAGGGTTTTGCCATGTTGGCCAGGCTGGTCTCAAACTCCTGACCTCAGGTGATCCGTCTACCTCAGCCTCCCAAATTGCTGGGATTACAGGTGTGAGCCGCTGTGTGGAGTTACTAATTATTAGATGCTGGCCACCGCTGGGCAGGGGTTGGGCTCAGCTGACACCCTACATCCACCACCAGATTCCAGCCTCTGACTTTGGGGAATCTGGCCGGGACCTGGGGTCTGGGGCCAGAACTGTGGACACCCTGCCATGTGTGGAATTATTAATCTTACCCCCGAATCTTCCTGCATCTCCCAGCACCTGAGTGACTTGACTTTTTTGTGAGGTCTTAGCTGACAAATTGGATTGCGGCATATCACAGGATCCAGCACCTAGGTAATGTGACAGTATTCTCCTGCCTTGGCACTACCTACTTGGGGCTTTGTGACATATGTCTGTGCTCATAACTAAGGTGATATGATTCTCTTCTCTTACCTGGTCTCTGCTCACATGGGAGATAGTGACATATTGCTGGGCCCAATACCAAAGTGACATTACTCTTTTACCTTGACCTTCTTCTCAGAAAACATTGTGACATATTGTTGGGCCCACCACCAACATGATGTGAGTCTTCTGCGTGGTCCCTGACCACAGAGATCATCGTGACATATCTCTGAAAGCTCAAAACTATTTGAAGCGATTATCTTGTTATGCCAGCTCTTTGCCCATAGGAGAGAATGTAATATTTCTGTGGGCACAGCACCTAGTTGATGTAATTGTGCCTGGGCCATGTCTACAAAAGGAAGAATCATTTACCCATGGGTCCAGCACACAGGTGACTTCACTCTACTGCCTTGATTCTTGCCCACGAGAATCATCGTTACATATTTTTGGGCTCTCCTCCTAGATGATGTGAGACTTTTTTTCTTCCTGGGTCCTGTCCACAAAAGGAGATTGTGACATATCACTTGACCCAGCACCTATGTGATGTGACTCTCATCTGATGCCTTGGCTCTTCCCACTGGGCTGGTTGTGACATACAGCTGGGCACAGCTTCTAGGTTATGTGACTCTTCTCTTCTTCCTGAGTCCTGCCCACAGGGAGCATTGTGACATATCTCTAAACACTTCACCTAGATAATGGGACTCTTTCATCTGAGCCCTCCCCAAAGAGGCTATTGTGACATGTTTGGATCAAGCACCTAGGAGATGTTACTGTTCTCTCCTACCTGTTACCTGTTACTGGCAGTGAATCCGTATGGGTACAGGTCTGCTGCAACATTGACCCAGCAATAGGATGAGTTGGTGACTCTCAGACCAAGATTCAGGATACCTGAAACCTAAGAGACTTTGACTCCACTAAGGACACCCAGCGTGCAGGACAAATAGAAGCTCTCATGCAGAGATAAAGTCCCCAGTTGAGATTGTAACTCCTGAACATGTGCAGAATTGATAATCTCATTTATGGACCACCCTGCAGCTGTGATTGTGACATATGCCTTTGTCCAGCACTTGAGTGATTTGACTCTCCTGCCTGGGCTCAGGTCACAGATAGGATTGTGACACATCGCTGAACTCAGGACCTAGGTGATGGGAATCTATTCTCCTGACTTGGCATTGCCCATAGGGAACACTGTGACATATCACTGCACCCAACATCCAGGTTATGTGACTCTCCTGCCTGTGCCTTACATGGGCCATTGTGACATATTCCTGAGTGTAACACCCAGGTGATGTAAATCTCCTGCCTAGGCCTTGCCTACAGAGAGCATTCTGACGTATCGCTGTGACCATTACATAGGTGATGTGACTCTCCTTTCCTGCCTAGTTCCTGCTTACAGAGGGTATTGAAACAGACTGCCAGGTCCAGCACCTAGATAATGTGATTCCTCTCTTTTTTCTAGGTTTTGCCCACAGGGGACATTGTGACATATCACTGGGCCCAACACCAAGGTTATGTTACTCTCTTTCCTTGGTCCTGCTCTCAAACAACATTGTGAAATACTGCTGAACCCAGCACGAAGAAGATGTAAGTCTTCTGCCTGGACCCTGTTAACAAGGGGCACTGTGACATATCTCTGAGCCCATCAACTATTTGATGTGACTCTTCTCTTTTACCTGGGCTTTCTCCATAGAAGAGGTTGTGACATAACTCTGGGCCCAGCACCTAGGTAATGTGACTTTTTTCTTTTGCCTGGACCATGCCCACAGAGAAGAGAGTGACTTATTACTAAGCCCAGCACACATGATGTAATTCTTCTGCCTGGTCTTTGCTCACAGGAATAATTTTGACATATTTCTGATTTCATCACATGGTTGATGGCTGATGTGGCCAGTCTTTTTTTCAGTCCTGTCCACAATGGAGATTGCTACATATTGCTTGAGCCAGCTCCTACATGATGTGACTCTCTTGTCATGCCTGGGTGCTCCCCCACTGGGGTGATCATTACATATGGGTGAGCCCTGGACCTAGTTTATGTAATTTTTCTTTTCTTCCTAAGCCCTACGCACCTGAGGGCATTGTGACATATCTCTGAGCTCATCACCTAGGTGATGTGACTCTCCTGCCTGAGCCTGCTCCTCAGGGGGTATTGTTACATATTGTCAGACCAAGCAACTAGGTGATATGACTCTTCTCTACCACTTGTGCTCTGCCCAATAAGAAACTGTGATTTATCACTGGGCCCAGCACCTAGGTTATGTGACTCTCCTCTCCTGCCTGGGCTGTACATACATTGCTATTGTGACATGTGTCTGGGTGCAATGTCTGAGTCATTTGATTCTCCTGTATGGGCTCTGCCCCCAGGGACATTATTACCTATCATGTCGTTAGTCACCTAGGTGATGTGAATCACATTTTCTGCCTGGTCCCTGCCAGAAAGAATAATAGTGACTTATCACTGGACCCAGCATCTTAGTGATGTGACTCACCTCTTTTACCTGGGCCTTGCGTATTTTTGGTATTGGACATATTGCTGGGTCCAACACCTAGGAGATAAGAGACTTTTACCTTGACCCTGACTAGAGGGGGCTTATTGTATTTCTCAGCATCTATCTTGTAGGGGTTGTGCCTTTTTCCTGCCTGTTCTCTACCCTCAGGGAAGATTGTGACTGGGTCTGGCAACCAGGTCATGTGTTTCTCCAGCCTGGGCCTAGTCCACTGGGAAGCACTGTGACAATATTGCTGGTCCCAGAAACTAGGTGATGTGATTCTCCTGCCTAGTCTTTGCTTTCAAGGAAGATTGCAACATATTCCTGTCCCAGCACCCAGGTGATATAACAATACTGCTTGGACTCTTCCCTCAGGAGTTATTGTGACACATTGCTGGACTCAGCATTTAGGTGATGTGACTCCCCTTGCCTGCTTAGACTCTGCCCAAGGAGGGATTGTGATGTATCACTAGTCCTAGCACCTAGAAGATGTGACTCTCCTTTTATGTTTGGGCCCTGCCTACATTGTGTATTGTGACATATGGCTGGGTCCACCACCTAGTTGATGTGACTCTTATGCGTGGGTTCTATTTACAGGGGTATTAAGATATATTTTTTCATTCATCCCCTAGGTGATGTGCCTCTTCTCTTCTGCCTGGGCCCTGCCAATAAAAGGGGATTGTAATGAATCACTGGACCCAGAACCTAGGTGAGGTGACACTCCTATTTTGCCTGGGCCCTGCATATTTGGGTATTGTATCATATCACTGGACTCAACACATAGGGGATAGGAGGCACATGCATGCGTCCTGCTCACAGAAGGCCTTGTGACATATCTCTGCATCCATTACCAGTGAGATATGACTGTCCTCTTCTACCTGCACCCTGCCTATAGAGAAGACTGTAACATATTGCTGGGCCTACTGACCAGATGATGTGTTTCTTTTGCCTGAACCTTGCCCAAAGGGAGCATTGTGACATATCACTGGGCTCAGCACCCAGGTGATGTTCCTCTCCTGCCTGGTACCTTCTATCAGGGAATATTGTACAAATCTCTGGCCAAGCACCCAGGTGATAGTCCTCTCCTGCCTGGTCCCTTCTAGCGGGGAATATTGTACAAATCTCTGGCCAAGCACTCAGGTGATGTGACTCTCCTACTCACTACCTACTCACAGGTTACATGTCCCATCTCACAGGTGAGATGATGACTCTCATATCTTAAACCAGACGACAGTTGATATGCTGCTTCTCATAGCTAGGCTTAGGAAAATTGGTAAGATTCAGGGTCTCCTATTTTTATGAAGGTCAGAGGGGATTACCACACTCTCACCTATGGTATAAAGCCTTTGGATTGTACACAGTGTGTCATCACAGAGCCCAGCACACAGATGAGATTGACTTGCATGTATGGACAACCAAGCACCTGTTAAAATTGTGACCCTCACAGGTGGACAGACTGCAATTGTGAATCCCACACATGGATGCAGTCCACAGTTGGAATTGTGACTGTCATATGTGACCGTCCATCCAGATTTGGGATAGCAAAACTATTTTTTTTTTTTTTTTTGAGATGGAGTCTTGCTCTGTCACCCAGGCTGGAGTGCAGGAGTGCAGGAGTGCAGTGGCACTATCTCGGCTCACTGCAAGCTCTGCCTCCCAGGTATATGCCCTTCTCCTGCCTCAGCCTCTTGAGTAGCTGAGACAACAGGCACCCGCCACCACGCCTGGCTAATTTTTTGTATTTTTAGTAGAGACAGGGTTTCACCGTGTTAGCCAGGATGGTCTCGATCTCCTGACTTTGTGATTCACCCACCTCAGCCTCCCAAAGTGCTGGCATTACAAGTGTGAGCCACTGCACCCAGTGATAGCAAAACATTTTTAAATGCAGCTCATAGGAAAGTGAGGGCTCTCCTATCTGAACCCAGAAAATTGGAGAGATGTTGACTCTCATAACTGGGCTTAGAGACACAGATACAATCATAGGTTTATACCAGCATGAAAATCTCAAGCTGGATTGTGGCTCTCATGCAAACCATGTAAAGCCCTAGGGTAGTACAGAGAGTGTCCTAAAGGGCCAAGCACACAGGTGAGATTATGACACTCCTGTGCGCACCCTGACAATAGTAAAGATTGTCATTTTCCCACATGAACCCAGCCAATTTTGAGGTTCTGAACCTCACACCCAAAGGCAGTTGAAAGTTGAAAAATTGAATCACATACATGGATCTTGTCCACAGATGGGTTGGTGACTCTCAGACCAAGATTCAGCACACCTGTGAGCCTCTGACTCCACTGAGGGAACACAGTTCATGGGAGGGATTGAGGATTTAATACACAGATCCAGTTCACCTTTGAGATGGTGACTCGTGTAATTAGACACAACATACAGTAGGTATTGACTCTCGTACCTTGAACCAGATCATGTATGGGATCGTTAATCTCATTCTTACACCATCTTGCATGTGTGATTGTATCATACAGCTCTTCCCAGCAACTGAGTGATTTGACCCTTCTGCCTAGGTCCTACAGGTGAAATTGTGGCATATCACTGAACCCAGCATCTAGGTGGTGTGAGACTACACTTTTGCCTTAGCACTTTCCACAGAGGGCATTGTGACATTTTGCTGGCCCTAGAACCCAGGGGAAGTGACTTTCCTCTACTTCTTGGTCTCTGCCCAAGAACAGATTGTGATATGTCACTGGGCTTAACACCTAGGTGACGTGACTTTCCTCTCCTGCCTGGACCAAACACTTTTGTGATGCAAATCTGTTTGGGCCCTGCCTACAGAGGTATTATAACATATCTGTTCATTCATCACCTAGGTGATGTGACTCTTCTCTTCTGCTTGGGCCCTGACAAAATGGGGGATTTTGACACATCACTAAACCCAGCACTTAAGTGATGCTACTCTTCTGTTTTCCCTGGGCCCAGCATATCTTGGGTATTGTTACATATAGCTGGGCATCATTCCTTCAGGGTGGGAGGCTCCTGCCTGTGCCCTGCCCATGAGGGGCCTTGTAAGATGTCTCTTCCTCCATCACCTAAGAGATGTGACTCTCTTCTTTTGCCTGCATCCTGCCCACAGAAAATGTTGTAATGTATTGCTGGACCCAGTCACCAGATGATGTGTCTCTCCTGCCAAGGCTGTGCCCACAGAGAGCATTTTGACATATCACTGGGCTCAGCACCCAGGTGAAATGACTCTGCTGCCTGTACTCTGCTTTAAGAGGGGATTGTAATATATCTGTGGCTGAACACCTAGGTGATATGACTTCTGCCTGGTTTCTGACCTCAGGAAAGATTGTGACATATCTTTGCCAAAAACCTATGTGATGTGAATCTGCTGCTCACTTCCTACCCACAGGTAGAATTGTGACATATATTTTGTCCAGCTCACAGGTTTATTAAATGCTCTTATACCTCAAACCAGCCAATAGAAGAGATACTGTCTCCCATAACCAGACTTAGGAAAATGAGAGAGATTATGGGTCTTCTCTATGTATTAAGGTCATAAAAGACTACTATTTTTTACATATTATATAAAGCCCTTGAGTGGTACAGAAAGTGTCATTACAGGGCACACTAAACAGGTGAGACTGTGTTTCTTATATGCACATACCACCAACTGTTAAGACTGTCGCCCTCACAGATGGACAGACCCCATTGGAGAGGTCCTGAATTTCACACATTGACACAGCCCACAGTTTGGATTGTGACCGTCATATGTGAACATCCAGCTACAGTTGACATGGTGACTCATTTCTAATTCTGGCAAGTTAGATCCTTTCTACCTGGATGCATTCAATGGAGAGATGTTGACTCTTAGTCCTGGGTTTGGGGCCACAGGTAGGATCATGAGTCTGTAGATGCACAAAGTCTCAGAGCATACTGTGACTTTAATGTGTATATATACATATATATACACATTATCATATATATATGCAAATTATCATATATATACACACATTATCATATATATATACACATTATCATATATATATACATTATCATATATATATATACACATTATCATATATATATATATATATATATACACACACACACACACACACCCATTATCATATATACATATCCCTCAGGTGATACAAAGGGTGTCCTAACAGAGCATGGTATAGAGGTGCGATTATGACACTCATATATGTACCCAGCTGGCAGTAAATATTGTCATTCTTCCACATGAACACAGCTGACTGTTGAGGTTCTGAATCTCACATCCAAAGAAAGTTGAAGATGGAAAACTGGTTCATACATGGATTCGGTTCACAGGTGGGTTGGTGACACTAAGACCAAGATCCAGCATATCTGTGAGGCTTTGACTCCACTAAAGGGACACAGTCTGTAGGAGGGATTGAGGCTCTTATGGATGGATTCAGCAAACTGTTGAGATTGTGGGTTATACACCTATACCCAACATACAGGAGGTGGTGCCTCTCATACCTAGAACCAAGACATGATCAGGATGGTTAATCTCATCTCTGGACCTTCATGTAGCTGTGACTGTGACATATACCTCAGCCTAGCACTTGAGCAATTTTATGCTCCTGCCTGGGCTCAGCCCACAGACTGGGTAGTGACATCTTTCTGCACCAGCGCTTAGTCAATGTCTTGGTTCTGCCCATAGAGACAACTTTGACATATTGTGGCTCCTCGCACTTAGGTTATGTGACTCTCGTGCCTGTGTTTTGCCCACATGGGCCATTGTGACATATTGCTGAGTCCAACATGAAGGTGATGTAATCCTCCACCCTGTCCTCTGCCTACAGAAGGCATTGTAACATACCTTTTGGTCCCTCACATGGGTGATATTACTCTCTGGCTCACCCTTCTTTCAAGGGGTATTGGGACATACTGCTGTACCCAGCATCTAGGTTATGTAAATTTTTCTCCTGCTTTGGCTGTGCCCAGTGAGGGGTTATAGAGTATCTCTGGGCCCAGCGCCTAGGTGATTTGACTCTTCTTTTTTTTTTTTCTTTTCTTTCTTTCTTTCCTACTTTCTTTTCTTTTTTTTTTTCAGACAGAGTCTCACTCTGTTGCCCAGGCTGGAATGCAGTGGCACGATCTCAGCTCACTGCAGCTTCCGCCTCCTGGGTTCAAGCGATTCTCTTGCCTCAGCCTCATGAGAAGCTGGGATTACAGGTACCCACCACCATGCCCAGCTGATTTTTCTATTTTTAGTAGAGACAGGGTTTTACCATGTTGGCCAAGCTGGTCTTGAACTCTTGATCTCAGGCAATCCACCTGCTTTGGCCTCCCAAAGTGTTAAGATTACAGGCGTGAACCACCATGCCCAGCCAGGTGAGAAAGCATCAATATTACAAGGATCATTTATAAGTCTTGAGTTCTTAACAAATGTTGATATCTGCAAAATTAAGTGTTCTACTTAAGAAAACATTGAGCAAGCTTATCTTGCATTTCTACACAAAGAGCACAACAACAATATAATCCACAACAGTAAAGTAAAATAAGTAAAATTATCCCAAGTAAAGTAAAATAAGTAAAATTATCCCAAGTAAACTAAATAAGGGCAAATGTTGGGAAGAAGCTGATATGGGTTTGCTACCTGATTCCAATATGTGTTCAGAATTAGATTAGTGATCCGGATTTTTTTTTTTTTTTTTTGAGATGGAGTCTTGCTCTGTCGGCCAGGCTGGAGTGCAGTGGTGCAATCTTGGCTCACTGCAACTCTGGCTCCCAGGTTCAAGTGATTCTCCTGCCTTAGCTTCCTCAGTAGCTGGGATTACAGGCACGTGCCACCACGCCCGGCTAATTTTTGTATTTTTAGCAGAGACAGGGTTTCACCATGTGGGCCAGGCTGGTCTCGAACCCCTGACATCGTGATCTGCCCACCTCGGCCTCCCAAAGTGCTGGGATTACAGGCATGAGCCACCGTGCCTGGTGCCTGATCTGGATTTTTATATTACCCATCTCTCTTGTTTCTTTTGAGCTGCAGTCAGAGATCACTGGTGTGTTCAAAGGAATAAGCAGAATTAGTCTAAATAGCAGGGAAAATACTCAAAAACAACAAATGAGACTAGTGTGTAACAACAGGTGTACCATAGTTCTTGAAACATGATTTTTTTCTCTCTCCAGTCTTCCATTTCTACTAAAGACAAATCATGGTAAAACTGATTTACTTGCATAAAAAGCTTTAGTCTTATAGTTGGCCTGATTATTTGTATAAAGTGCAGCAAAAATAATTATTTTTCACATAGGTTTTTAAAATTGGCTTTGATATAACTATGTTCCATTAAAGGAATATCAGAAAAGACTTTTTAAAAGCCAAGCCCAGCCATGGGTTTGTACCATCAGATACCTGTGAGTTGGGTGAATTTCTCTCTTCTTGGGGTCCCAAGACAACTTCAGGCTCCTGATTCTGTCAGAAAGAGACATTCCTGGCCAGGCATAGTGGCTCACACTTGTAATCCCAGCACTATGGGAGACCAAGGTGAGTGGATCACCTGAGGTCAGAAGTTTGAGACCAGCCTGCTCAACATGGTGAAAACCCATCTTGACATGAAATACTAATATTAGCTGGGTGTCGTGGCATGCACCTGTAGTCTCAGTTACTCAGGCAGCTGAGGCAGGAGGATCACTTGAACCTGGGAAGCAGAGGTTGCAGTTAGTTG
Source organism: Homo sapiens (assembly GCF_000001405.40). Lineage (NCBI taxonomy): Eukaryota > Metazoa > Chordata > Mammalia > Primates > Hominidae > Homo > Homo sapiens. Next base: position 49,888 of record NW_003315965.1, read on the forward strand.
AAATCACACCATTGTACCCCAGGCTGGGTGATAGAAGGAAACTCTGTCTTAAAAAAAAAAAAAAGAAATGACATTCCTTACTTACCATGGGTCAGGAACCCTGCACAGGGACTGTGTAGACATAGTTGGAAGCCATCTCCATCTCAAAAACAAACAAACAATGACCAAAAAACAAACAAACAAACAAACAAAAAACAGGTGGGCAGGGTAATGTGTTCCTATAATCTCGGGTACTCAGGAGGCTGAGGCATGAGAATCACCTGAACCCGGGAGGTGGAGGTTGGAGTGAGGTAATCACGCCACTGCAATCCAGCCTGGGCAACAGAGTGAGACTTTATCTCAAAAATAATAATAAAAATAACTTGCCTTCTTAAAGATTATTAAAAAGGCAAAAACCTTTCCTTTTTGATAAAGACTTAGCTTTCCAAACTATTTGTCTCCTGTCTTTTTTTTCTTGTAGTTTATTCAAAAGGCAGACAAAAATTTTTCATTTTTCAAAATATAATATAAAAATCTTGTTTAAAAGAGAAGCCTACATTTCACGTATGAATTAGTGTACTATTGATTTCAAACCCAGTTTTTTCTTTTTTTTTTTTTGAGATGGAGTTTCACTCTTGTCACCCAGGGTGGAGTGCAGTGGCATGATCTTGGCTCACTGAAACCTCCGCCTCCTGGGCTCAAGCAATTCTCCTGCCTCAGCCTCCCTAGTATTTGGGGTTACAAGCATGTGCCACCACACTTGGATAATTTTTGTATTTTTAGTAGAGACGGGTTTCACCATGTTAGTCAGGCTGGTCCCAAACTCCTGACCTCAAGTGATCCTCCCTCCTTGGCTCCTGAAGTGCTGGGATTACAGGTGTGAGCCACTGCACCTGGCCAAAACAAGTTTTTAATAAAATCTTATATACAAGTCTATCCAATCTTAATCAGTTTGACCATAAGGCAAGATTTTCATAAACGTTTAATAACTCTGCAATTTTTGTTAAGGAACAGATCTGTGCTTTAAAAAAAAAAAAACCCGTTGTACTTATATTCCAATGTTTAATTTATTTAAAAAAACTGAATACAGGCCAGGCATGGTGGCTCACGCCTGTAATCCCAACACTTTGGGAGGCCAAGGCTGATGGATCACCTGAGGTCAGGAGTTTGAGACCAGCCTGACTAACATGGAGAAACCCCGTCTCTACTAAAAATACAAAATTAGCTGGGCATGGTGGCACATGCCTGTAATCCCAGCTACTAGGGAGGCTGAGGCAGGAGAATTACTTGAACCTGGGAGGCAGAGGTTGCGGTGAGCTGAGATTGCGCCACTGCACTCCAGCTTGGGCAACAGGAACGAAACTCTGTCTCAAAAACAAAAAAGAAAAAACAAAAAAAACTGAATAATATCTCTTTAACTTTAGCCAATATGTTCACACACAGAATTTTTTTTACAAGCTTAATTTTTACAAACCTTCCAAAACTTGCTCAAACCTTCAGCTCAATCCTAACTTAAAACAACTCTTTAGCCCTCTAAACTAGGCCAAAAAAATTAACATTTTTATGCCATCTTATGATCATTTACCAAAAGCACATTCTACTTTTCTTACACACCTTGCATGTAAAACTGCTTTTAGTTCCCAAAGATTACTTATGTCACATGAGATAAAAGGCATTACGTTTGTTCCTTTTCTGAAAAAAAATTAGACTTAAGCATTTATTATTTTTAAGCCAATTAATCAGAACTCTTTCATATATAACTATCACACATGGCCGGGTGTGGTGGCTCACGCCTGTAATCCCAGCACTTTGGGAGGCCAAGGTGGGCAGATCACTTGAGGTCAGGAGTTCGAGACCAGCCTGACCAACATGGTGAAACCCTGTCTCTACTAAAAATACAAAAATTAGCCAGGCATGGTGGCAAGTTCCTGTAATCCCAGCTACTCAGGAGGCTGAGGCAGGAGAATCACTTGAACTCAGGAGGCAGAGTTTGTGGTGAGCCAAGAATGCGCCATGGCACTCCAGCCCTGACAACAACAGTGAAACTCCATCTCAAAACAAACAAACAAACAAACAAAAAACCACAAAGGACAGTTGCACTAAATAACAGAAAAGATAAGAAAGAAAGAGGAGAGAAGGAAAGAAAAGCATTGCCTGAGGCAGGTTGGGGAAAGGGAGGAGCTCAGGGACGCCAGTGAAAGACCCACCCATTGCAGCGGCACTGAGAAATTCAGGCGGTGACTTCTCAGTCATGAAGGGATCTTTTCCAGCAATTTCATTAGCTCTCAAGTTTCCCCCTTTCTTTTAATATATATAAAATACTTTAAGTTCTAGGGTACATGTGCACAACGTGCAGGTTTGTTACATGTGATCATTAAAAAGTCAGGAAACAACAGGTGCTGGAGAGAATGTGGAGAAATAGGAACACTTTTACACTGTTGGTGGGACTGTAAACTAGTTCAACCATTATAGAAGACTGTGGTGATTCTTCGGGGATCTAGAACTAGAAATACCATTTGACCCAGCCATCCCATTACTGGGTATATACCCAAAGGAATATAAATCATGCTGCTATAAAGACACATGCACACATATGTTTATTGCAGCACTACTCACAATAGTAAAGACTTGGAACCAACCCAAATGTCCAACAATGATAGACTGGATTAAGAAAATGTGGCACATATACACCATGGAATACTATGCAGCCATAAAAAAATGATGAGTTCGTTTCCTTTGTAGGGACATGGATGAAGCTGGAAACCACCATTCTCAGCAAACTATCACAAGGACAAAAAACCAAGCACCGCATGTTCTCACTCATAGGTGGGAATTGAGCAATGAGAACACTTGGACACAGGAAGGGGAACATCACACATTGGGGCCTGTTGTGGGGTAGGGGGAGGGGGGAGGGATAGCATTAGGAGATATACCTAAAGTTTCCCCTTTTGAGGAGAATAGAAGCTCCCCATGTCTTATGATCCTGTACATGCCTAATCGTGTCACGCACAACTGTCAGCAAAGAGCACAGGGAAAATTAATCTAAAAAGTGCAGTGGCACGATCTTGGCTCACTGCAACCTCTGCCTCCCAGGTTCAAGACATTCTCCTGCCTCAGCCTCCTGAGTAGCTGGGATTACAGGCATGAGCCACCGTGCCTGGCCTGCCTCGTCGATTTTTTAACCAAGAGTGACATTACTGAGAGGGGCCTCTAACCCCCTAAATTTTTTTTTTTTTGAGCCAGAGTTTCCCTCTTGTTGCCCAGGCTGGAGTGCAATGGTACGATCTTGGCTTACCGCTACCTCTGCCTCCCGTGTTCAAGTGATTCTCCCACCTCAGCCTCCTGAGTAGCTAGGATTGCAGGCATATGTCAACACGCCCAGCTAGTTTTTGTATTTTTAGTAGAGATGGGTTTTCTCCATGTTGGTCAGGCTGGTCTCGAACTTCTGACGTCAGGTAATCCACCTGCCTCAGCCTCCCAGAGTGCTGGGATTACTGACATGAGCCGCCGTGCCTGGCCAACCCCTTAAATCTTAGAAAGGACTTGAACCTTCATAACTGGGTCCTCAAGCTTTTTATTAAGAGAGGTCTTTAACCCAATATGTCTTAGGAGAGACTGTACTGCTTCTATATTGGGCCTCTAACCCAATCCCATTTTTTACCCTGGTAGAATATACCCCACTAGTTACCCAAAGTTGGCTAATTGGTGCTGCAGTTTATTTCCTTTGGTTCAGTTTTCTCCTCAGTATAGTCCCTTTATAATTTGCCAGAAAGCTGTTACTGAAAAGGGCTTTTAATCCAGACCCCAAGAAGTCAGGGTGATCCCATGCAGTAAAATGAAAGCAAGTTTATTAGAGAAGTAAAGAAACAAACAAACAAAAAAAGCTGCTCCATAGGCAGAGCAGCTAATATAATTCTTGTCTCTTAAATTGGCTTTGACCATAGGAGGGATTGAGACAATTCTGGAAGCCCAGCACCTAGGTGATGTGACTTTCATCTTTTGTTTGGACCCTGTGCACAAAAGGAAGAGTGGCTTATCACTGGACCTCACACACAGGTGATGTAACGCTTCTGTCTAGGGTAATTGTGATACGTTCCTGTGCCCATCACCCAGATAATGTGACTCTTCTCTTTTCCTGAGACCTTCCTACAGTGGAGATTGTGACATATTACTTGGCCCAGTACCTATGTAATGTGACTCTTCTCTCATACCAGAGACTTGCACCTAGGGTAGTTGTGACATATAGCTGGGCTCAGCCCCTGGGTTATGTGACTCTTTTGATTATCCCCAGCTCTACCTGCAAGGAGCACTGGGAAATATATCTTTGGGCCCCTCAATTAGGTGATGTGACTCCCCTTCCTGGACTCTTTCCTCAGGAGGTATTGTGACATATTCCTGGAGCAAGTACCCAGGTAATGTAACTCTTTTCTACTGCTTGGACTCTACCCAAGGAGAGATTCTAATGTATCACTGGACCCAGCACCTAGGTTACATGACTTTCCTCTTGTGTCTGAGTCTTGCATAAATTGTGTATTGTGACAAATAACTGGGTCTAAAACCTAGTTGATGAGACTCTTCTGCATGGGCCCTGCCTACAGGGGTATTATGACATATGTTTTTTTCTTTTTTTAATCACCTATGTGATGTGCCTTTGTTCGCATGTGTGTGCATCCTGGCCCTGCCAAAAGTGGGGATTGTAACATATCACTAAACTTAGTACCAAGGTGTTATGATTCTCCTTGTTTGCCTGGGCCCTGCATATATTAGGTACTGTGACGTATGGCTGAGACAAACACCTAGGGCACGAGAGCCTCCTGCCTGGGTCCTGCCCACAAGGAACCTTTTGGCTTATCTCTGCATCCATGAACTAGGAGATGTGACTCTTCTTTTCTGTCTGGGTTCTGCAAAAACAAGTGATTGTGACATATCATCAAACCCAGCAACTAGACGATGTGATTTTTCTTCCCTGCTTGAGCCCTGGATATGCTGTGTATTGTGATATATGGCTGGGTCCAACATCAAGGTAATGTGACTCTCCTGAATGGACTCTGCCCACAGGAGTATTATGACATATCTTTACCTTTATCACTTTGGTTATGTGACTCTTTTTATTTCCCTGAGCCCTCTTGAATTAGGGATTGTGATATATCACCGAACCTAGCACCTAGGTGATGTGACTCTGTTTTATTGCCTGGGTCTTGCATTTTTTAAGTATTGTGACATGTCCCTGACCATAACACCTAAAGAATTGGGAGGCACCTGCTTGTACTCTGCCTATTGGGGGTGGGGGGGGGGGCATTGTGACATATCTCTGGGCCCATCAACTGCTTCATTTGACTCTCCTCTCCTACCCATGCTTTGTCAATAGGAGAGATTATGACATATCTCTGGAACCAGAACCTTAGTGATGTGACTCTTGTCTCCTGCTGAAGCCATGCCCACACAAGGGAAAGTGACTCATCACTGGACCCAGCACACAGGTGATGTAATTCTTCTGCCTTGTTTTTGTACCCAGGAGCCATTGTAATCCATCTCTGGGCCCATCATTTAAATGATGTGACTATCCTTTTCTTCCTGAGCCCTATTCACAGGGAAAATAGTGACACATCTGTGGGCTTCTCACCGAAATGATGTGACTTTCCTTCCTGGGCTCACCTCTCAAGGGAATTTTGACATATTACTGGACCAAGCACCTAGGTGATGTGGCTCTGACAAACGAGAAATTGTGATGTACCACTGTTCCACACCTAAGAGATCTGACTCTCTTTTCATGAGCCCTGCATTTATTGTGTATTGTGACATATGGCTTGGTCCAACGCCTAGGTGATGTGACTCTCTACTTCTTCCTCGGCCATGCCAAAGAAGAGGATTGTGACATATCACTGGATCCAGCACTTAGGTGATGTAAATCTTTTCTTTTGCTGAGCCATGCATATTTTTGGTATTGTGACATGTAGCTGGACCGAACACCTACAGGACTGGATCAGAGGCTACTTAATAAGCCCTGCCCATAGGCGGCCTTGTGACATATGTCTGCATCTATCACCAAAGTGATGTGACTCTTTTTCTGCCTGCATCCTGCACATAGAGAAGATTGTGACATATCGCTGGGCCCAGTAACCAGGTGATGTGTCTTTTCTGGCAGGTCTTTTCCCACAGGGAGCATTGTAAAATATCACTGGGCTCGGCCACCAGGTTATGTGACCCTTCTGCCTGTGCCCTGCTTCCTGGAAATGTGACATTCCTCATACAGCACCCAGGTGATGTGACTCTTCTGCTCATTTTCTACTTATAGTTGGGATTGTGACAAATATCCTGGCCCAACTCATAGGTGCTATGATGATTCCCGTACCTGGAATCAGCCAATAGGGAGATAGTGTCTCTTGTATTGTAGCCTAGGGAAACAAGTAAGATCCTGGGCCTCCTCTTTGTATGAATGTCATAAAGAGTTATCAATCTGACTGGGCAGTGTGGCTCATGCCTGTAATCCCAGCACTTTGGGAGGCCAAGGTGGGTGAATCACGAGGTCAGGAGTTGGAGAGCAGCCTGGCCAACATAGTGAAACTCTGTCTCTACTAAAAATACAAAAATTAGCCGGGTGTGGTGACATGTGCCTGTAATCCCAGCTACTCAAGAGGCTGAGGTGGGAGAATCACTTGAACCCGGGAGGCAGAGGTTGCAGTGAGCTGAGACCATGCCATTGCACTCCAGCTTGGGTGACAGAGTGAGATGAGGCTCCCTCTCAAAAAAAAAAAAAAAAAAGAGAAGAAAGAAAGAATTACCAATCTTTGGTGTGTTTCATAAACCATTTGGGTGGCACAAAGAATGTCTTCAGAGGGCTTAGCGCACAGGTGAGATTGTTTCTAAAATGCAGAAACTGCCAACTGTTAGGACTGTCACCCTTACACATGGCAAAAGCCAGCTAGTGAGCTCCTGAATCTCACAGGTGGACACAGTTCAAAGTTGGAATTGTGACTGTCATATATTAACATTTGGCCACAATTAAGGTGGTGACTCATTAATAAATGCAGTACATAGGTAGGTGAAGACTCTCTGATCTAGACCCTGTCAACTAGAGAGTGGGGACTCTGTAATCTGGACCTTGCCAACTATGCTCAGAAAGGTCTCAGAGCAGACTGTGACTTTTATGCACACTCTACAAAGCCCTCAGGCGGTGCAGAAAGTGTTCCAACAGAGCCCAGCACACAGGTGAAAACCCCTGCCTGTGCCCTGCCCATATGGGCAATTTTGACATGTTGCTGAGTCTGATACCTGGGTGATGTAACTCTCTGGCCTGGTCCTGCCTACAAGGTTTTCTGTAACATATCTATGCACCAGTCAACTTTGTGTTTTGATAATCCTCTTCTACCAATTTCTGCTCAAAAGAAGGATTTTGACAAATAATTGGGACCAGCACCTAGCTGACATTATTCTACTTTTCTTTCAAGGTTTGGTTTTCAGGGGATGTTGTGACATGTCACTAGGCTAACAGACAGGTGATATTCTTCTGCCTTGGCTCTTCCAAAATAAAGCATTTTTACACAGTGCTATGCCCAGGACCACAGTGACTGAGTCTCCTGCCTAGACCCTGCCCACAGAAAGATTGTAACATATCTCTAGACCCATCAACTATTTGATGTGAGTCTCTTCTTTTACCTTGTCTTTTCCCACAAAAGAGATTGTGATATGTCTCTGGGCCCAGCACCTAGGTGATGTGACTTCTTCTGCCTGGATCATGCCCATAGAAGGGAGAGTAACTTAATACTGGGCTTACCACAGACATGCTGAGATACTTCTGCCTGTTACTTGCCCGCAGGATGCATATGCCAGATTTCTGGGCCCATCACCTAGATGATGGGACTCTCCTTTCTGGGACCAGTACACAGTGGGAACTGTGATGCATTGTTTAGCTCAGCAGCTACATAATGTAACTCCCTTCTCATGAGAGCCCCCCCCCAACTTGGGTAATTGCAACATATAATCTAGCCTAGTTTCTAGGTTACCTGACTCTTACCTTATTCCTGAGCCTTACACAGAATCAGAAACATCTCTGGGCTTCTCACCTAGGTGAGGTTACACTCCTTTCTGATCTCTCCCTTCAGGGAATATTTTGACACATAGCTAGACCCAAAACCTGTGTGATAAGACTCTTCTATCTCTTGGGATCTGTCCAAGAAGAAATTGGGATGTATTGCTAGGCTCAGCATCTAAGTTATGTGAATCTTTTCTCCTGCTTGGGCCTTGCATACATTGTGTATTTTGACATATCGTGGGCTCCAACACCTAGGAAATTGGCGATTTCTACCTGTGGCCTGTCCACAGGAGGCCTTGTGATGTATCTCTGCATCATGACCCAAGAAATATGACCCTTGTTTTTAGCCTCCACTTTGCCCACAGGGAAAATTGTGACACATCGCTGGGCCCAGCAACAGGTGATGAATTTGTTTTGCCTGCACCTTGCCCACAGAAAACAGTGGAACATAGCCCTTGGCCTAGCACTAAGGTGATGTTTCTTTTATCCCTGGTCCCTGGCCTCAAAAATGATTGTGATTTTACCCTTTCCCAGCACTCATGTGATGTGACCATCCTGCTCACTCTCTACTGACAAATGGGATTGTTACATACATCTTGGCCTGGCTGACAGGTGCAATAATAACTCTCATACCAGTCACCAGGAGAGATACTGTCTCTTGTAGCTAAGCTTAGAGAAATGGGTAAGATCCTGAGTCTCCTTTTTGTAGGAAGGTCATAGATTATTTCCACTCCCTCACATACTGTATAAAGCCCTCAGGTGATACAGAGAGTGTCATCACAGGCCCAGCACACAGACGAGACTGTTTATCTTGTGTGCACACCCCACCAATTATTAGGATTATTGCATTCACACAAGGACACAGTGTACTGGAGAGTTCTTGAACTTCATACATGGATGCAGCTTACAGTTGGAATTGTGACTGTCATATGTAAACACCTGACCACAAATGAGATGGTGACTCATTTCTAAAACCATCTCATGGGCAATTGAGGAATCTCCTCTCCGGAGCAGGTCAATTAAAGAGATGTTGACTCTCATACATGGGTTTAGGGCCATGAGTACAATCATGGGTTCATACCAGCATGGAGGTCTCAGAGCAAATTCTGACTCTCATGCATAACATAAAAAGCCCTTGATTGATAGAGAGACCGTCCTCACAGGGCCCAGCACACAGGTAATATTGTGACACTCTTATGCACAGGTAGCCAATAGTAAAGATGGTCATCCTTCCACATGAACACAGACCACAGTTGAGGCTCTGAATCTCCCACTCAGAGGCAGTGGGAAGTTGAAGAATTAACTCTTATATGTGGCTCTGATCCATAGGTGGGTTGGTTACTCTCAGACCAAGATTCCCCACAGCTGTGAGGCTGTGGCTTCATTAAGGGGACACAGTCTTCAGGAGGGATTGGGTCTTTTGTGTACAAATCCAGCCCATTGTTGAAATTGTGATGCAGGTACTTAAACCAAACCTACAAAAGGTGTTGACTCTCATACCTGAAACTGGGACATGTGTGGGATTGTTAATTTCATTTCAGGATCATCCTGCTGGTGTGATTCTGATGTATGCTTCTGCCCAGAATCTGAGCGCTTTGACTTCCCAGCCTCGGTCCAGCCCCCAGTAGGGATTATGACGTATCACTTGGCCAAGCACTTAGCTGATGTGACCTATTCTCCTGCCTTGGCTCTGCCCATAGAGGACATTGTGATGCACTGTCAGGCCCTGCACCCAGGTTATGTGATTTCTGCCTGTGCCCTGACCACATTGGCTATTTTGACATATTGCACTGTCCAACACTCAAGTGATGTTACACTTCTTCCTGTGCCTTTCCTACAGGGGACATTATGAAATATCTCTGTGCCCATCATCCATGTATGTTGACTCTCTTCTTCTGCATGGATTCTGCTCACAGAGGGATTGGGACATATCTGGGCTCAGCACTCAGGTGATGTGATGCTTTTCTCTCTTTTTTTGAGATGGAGTCTCACTCAGTCACCTAGGCTGGAGTGCAGTAGCATGATCTTGTTTCACTGAAAACTCCGCTCCTGGGCTCAAGTAATTCTTCTGTCTCAGTCTCCTGAGTAGCTGGGACTACAGAAGCCTGCCACCACACTTGGTGTATTTTGTATTTTTAGTAGAGATGGGGCTTCACCTTGTTGGTCAGGCTGGTCTTGAACTCCTGATCTCAGGTGATCCACCCTCCTCAGCCTCCCAGAGTGCTGGGATTACAGGCGTGAGCCACTGTGCCCAGCCAACGCTTCTCTTTTTCCTATGTTCTGCTCACACAAAAAATAGTGGCCCAGCACAAAGGTGATGTGAGTCTCCTGCCTGGACCCTGCTCACAGGGAGCATTGTGAAATATCTCTGGGCCCATCAACTATTTGATGTGAGTCTCCTCTGTTACCTGGGCTTTGCCTATGGAAGACATTGAGACATATCACTGGGCCCAGCACCCAGGTGGTTTGATTTGCCTCTTCTGACCAGGCCATGCCAACAGATAAATAGTAACTTATCACAGGGTCCAGCACACAGGTGCTGTGGCTCTTCTGCCTGGCCCCTGCCCACAGGTGTCATTGATACATATCTTTGGTCCCAACATGTAGATGATGTGACTCTACTTTATTCTGGGACCTGTATACCGTGGGGATTGTGACATATGGCCAGGCCCAGCATTTATGTGATGTGATTCTCATGCCTAGGCCCTGCCCACTGCAGTGATTATGACATATATCTGGGTGCATCCCCTAGGTTATGTGACTCTCCTCTTTTCCATGATCCCTACTCATAACATGAATTGTGACCTATGTCAGGTTTTCTCACCTAGGTTATGTGACTTTCTTGTCTTTGTCCTTCCATCAGAGGGCATTGTGATATATTGCTAGTTCCATTATCTGGGTGATGTGACTCTCCTCACCTGCCTGTGCACCATCCAAAGGGGACATTGTGACAAATCCCTGAACCAATTTTCTACATAATGTGCCTCTTCTCTGTTGCAGGAGACATGCCCAAAAAAGGGATTGTGGCATAACTCTGAGCCCAGCACCCAAATGTTGTGACTCTCCTGCCTGAGCTCCTACCTATGAGAGTCACAGAAGATTATGACACTTATGGAAATTACATAAAGCCCTCTGGCAGTCCAAAGTTTTATCCCAGGGCCCAGTATGCAAGTGAGATTGTGACTTTAATACGCAGACAAAGCTAACACTTAGTATTGTCACCTTCACATATAAACAGAGCCCACTGGTGAGGTTCTAAATCTCACACACCAAAAAAATTCACAGTTTGGGGCAGGCACAGTGGCTTACACCTGTAATCCCAGCACTTTGGGAGGCCGAGGTGGGCGGATCATGAGGTCAGGAGATTGAGACCATCCTGGCTAACACACGGTGAAACCCTGTCTCTAGTTAAAATACAAAAAAAAATTAGCCGGGCATGGTGGCGGGTGCCTGTAGTCCTAGCTACTCGGGAGGCTGAGGCAGGAGTTGCAGTGAGCCCAGATCGTGCCACTGCACTTCAGCCTGGGTGACACAGCGAGACTCCATCTCAAAAAAAAAAAAAAAAAAAAAATTCACAGTTGGAATTGTGACTGTGATATGTGAATCTGCCCACAGGTAGAATGCTGACTCATTTCTGGATTCAGCTTAGAAAAATGGTGATGACTGTTTCACCTGGACTCAGCCAAATGGAGAGATGTTGACTCTCTTAACTAGGTGTGGTGGTTAATACTGTGTGTCAACGTGACTGGATTGAAGGATACAAAGTATTAATCCTGGATGTGTCTGTGAGGGTGTTGCCAAAGGAGATTAACAACTGAGTCAGTTGGCTGGAAAAGGCAGACTCACCCTTAATCTGGATGGGCACAATCTAATCAACTGCCAACGTGGCCAGAATATAAGCAGGCAGAAAAATGTGAAAAGAAAGACTGGCCTAGTCTCCCAGCCTACATCTTTCTCCTGTGCTGGATGCTTCCTGCCCTTGAACATCAGACTCCAAGTTCTTCAGTTTTGGAACTTGGAGTGGCTCTCCTTGATTCTCAGCCTACAGATGGCCTGTTGTGAGATCTAGTGATTGTGTGAGTTAATACTTAATTAACATATATGTATATATACGCACACCATTAGTTCTGTCCCTCTGGAGAACCCTGACTAATACAGATTTTGGTAACAGGAGTGGTTCTAGAGGAACAGAATATTAAGGATGGAGTTCTTTTTTTGATTCTGGTGTTTCGGGGGTTGGCTGCTTAATATGATTAGACCCAAAAATGCTAAGGACTCTACTTCTAATAGTGTGGAGAACACTGATAGTCCTAGGGATGAACTGTTTAGAGAGTTATGTAAAATAAATGCATTTGACACTCCTGATTTATCACTCTTGAGAGGCAAGGAGTTTAGTGACTCTATACATACCTTTCACCAGCTGAGCATGGTGGCTCACACCTGTAATCCCAGCACTTTGGGGGTGCTGAGGCAGGTGGATCACGAGTTCAGGAGTTCAAGACCAGCCTGGTCAAGATGGTGAAACCCCCTCTCTACTGAAAATACAAAAATTAGCCGGGTGTGTCGATGAGTGCCTGTAATCCCAGCTACTCAGGAGGCTGAGGCAGAGAATTGCTTGAAACTGGGAGGTGGAGGTTTGACCATATGTGGAGAACCAAGGAACATAATGAAGCTGGTTGTCCTAAGTTCAATGGACAAAGTGATGATAGAAAATGATGAACTCAGGCATTCTATCTTTTGGCTTCAGAAGCAGTTACTGAGCCTCAAATCTGCTAAGATTGCCCTGTGTGAGAGTCTCATCTCCTGTAGATGAAATTGTGGAAAAACACACACAAACTCTTATTATGTTAGTGACTGACCTGCAATGAAAGATGTATGCACAGCCTCACCAGGTGTCTACTGTTAAAGTGAGGACACTGATTGGAAAAGAATGGGACCCTGCCACTTGGAATGGGGACGTATGGGAGGACCCTGATGAAGCTAGGGGCTCTGAGTTTGTAAACTCTGATGAGCTTTTTGTCAGAAAAAACAGCTTCCCCATCCCCAGTAGTGGCAACATCCCCTTTCTGATGCATGCTGCCATCAGCCTTTCCACCTTTGTCTGAGATAAACCCTGCACTGCCTGAGGCAACTGTGATGGCCTCCCCTGAGAAAGTTGCCAGGCAAAATAATGTTGATTCTTCTCAGGACCCACCCTCAACACCCCTGTTTGCTTCTAGGCATATAAGTAGACTAAAGTCCCAGCGGCCCCCTAGAGGTGAGTTTGAGAGTGTGCCCCATGAGGAGGTACACTACACTCAGAAAGAACTGCTTGAGTTTTCTAATTTATATAAACAGATATCTGGAGAACAGGCTTGGGGATGAATATTAAGGGTGTGGGATTATGGTGGAAGGAACATAGAGTTGAACCAGGCTGAATTTATTTATTTGGACCCACTAAGTAGGAATACTGCATTTAATGTTGCAGCTTGGGGAGTTAAAAAAGCTTCTAATAGTTTATTTGCTTGGTTAGCTGAAATATGGATTAAAAGATGGCCCCCCTGTGAGTGAGCTGGAAATGCCTGATGCCCCTTGGCTTAATGTAGAGGGAGGAATCAAAAGGCTTAGGCACATTGGGATACTGGAGTGGATTAGTCACTTTAGACCTACTAATTCCAGCATGGAAAGTCCAGAAGATATACCCTTGACCACTGACTTCAAAATAGATTTGTGAAAGCAGCACCTGAATCTTTAAAGAACCTTGTAATTACTTTTCTCTGCATGTCAGATCTAACAGTGGGAACCGTGGTCTCTCAACTACAAAATTTAAATACAGTGGGAATAATTGGATCCCATGATGGCAGGGGCCAAGTGGTGGCACTCAACCATCAAAGGCAAGGTGGGCATAGCTACTGTAATGGACAGCAGAGGCTAAACGGCAATCAGAATAGTCTGACTTCTGTAGAGTTCCAGCATTGGCTGATTCATCACAGTGATCTTAGAAGTAAAATTGATAGGAAACCTACTACATTCCTGCTTAATTTATACAAGCAGAAAACTTCTAGGTCAAATGGAAAAAAGACTAATTTTAAATATAAAAACAGAGAATCATGGCCCCTCAATCAATTTCCAGACTTGAGCCAGTTTACAGACCCAGAACTCCTTGAATAAAGGAGAGGCCAGATTCCCTTGAGGAACGAGCCCACTACACTAATGACAATTTATGCAGTGAATCTTTCTCCCATCTTTCCCCAAGGAGATCTCTGGCCTTTTATGGGGTAACTGTGCATTGGGGAAAGGGAAATGATTGGACATTTTGGGGACTATTAAACACTGGCTCTGAGGTGACATTGATTCCAGGGGACCCAAAACATCACTGTGGTCCTCCAGTTAAAGTAGAGGCTTATGGAGGTCATGTACTTAATAGAAATTTAGCTCAGGTCCAACTTACAGTTGATCAAGTGGGTCCCAAGACTCACTCTGTGGTCATTTCCCCAGTTCCAGAATGCAAAATTGGCATAGACATACTTAGCAGATGGCAGAACTCCTACATTGGCTCCCTGAGTAGTAGGGTGAGGGCTATTAGGGTGGGAAAAGCCAAATGGAAGCCATTAGAGCTGCCTCTACCTGGGAAAATAGTAAATCAAAACCAATATTGCATCCGTGGAGGGATTTCAGAGATTAGTGCCACCATTAAGGACTAAAAAGACGCAAAGGTGGTGATTCCTACCACATCCCCATTCAACTCTTTCATTTGGCAGAAGACAGATGGATTTTGGAGAATGACAGTGGATTATCGTAAGCTTAACCAAGTGATGACTCCAATTGCAGCTGCCATACTAGATGTAGTTTCATTGCTTGAGCAAATTACCACATCTCCTGGTACCTGGTATGCAGACATTGACTTAGCAAATGCCCTTTTCTCTGTTCCTGTCCATAAGGCCCACCAGAAGCAATTTGCTTTCAGCTGGCAAGGCCAGCAATACACCTTTACTGTCCTACCTGATGGATATATTAACTCTCTGGCTTTGTGTCATAATCTTATTCAAAGAGACCTCTATCGCTTTTTGCTTTTGCAAATATCACAGTTGTCCATTGCATTGATGACATTATGCTGATCGAATCCAGTGAGCAAGAAATAGCAAACACACCAGACTTATTCATGAGACATTTGCATGCCAGAGGATGGAAAATAAGTCTGACTAAAATTTAGGGACCTTCTAGCTCAGTAAAATTTCCAGGGGTCCAGTGGTCCAGGGCCTGTCAAGATATTCCTTCTAAGGTAAAAGGTAAGTTGCTGCATTTGGCCCATCCTACAACCAAGAAAGAGGCACAATGTCTAGTGGGCCTATTTGGGTTTTGGAGGCAACCTATTCCTCATTTGGGTGTGTTACTCTGGCCCATTTATTGAGTGACCCAAAAAGCTGCCAGTTCTGAGTGTGGTCCAGAAAAGAAGAAGGCTCTGCAACAGGTCCAGGCTGCTGTGCAAGCTGCTCTGCCACTTGGGCCATATTACCCAGGAGATCCAATGGATCTTGAGGTGTCGGTGAAAAATAAAGATGCTATTTGCAGCCTTTGGCAAGCCTTCTCAGGTGAATCACAGCAGAGGCCTCTAGAGTTTTTTTCTTTCTTTCTTTCCTTCCTTCCTTCCTTCCTTCCTTCCTTCCTGCCTTCCTGCCTTCCTGACTTCCTTCTTCCTGCCTTCCTGCCTTCCTGACTTCCTTCTTCCTGCCTTTCTGCCTTCCTTCTTTTCTTTTCTTTCTTTCTTTCTTTCTTTCTTTCTTTCTTTCTTTCTTTCTTTCTTTCTTTCTTTCTTTCTTTCTTTCTCTTGCTTTCTTTCTTTCTTTCCTTCTTTTTGGATGGAGTCTTGCTCTTGTCATCCAGGCTAGAGTGCAATGGCATTAACTTGCCTCACTGCAACCTCCACCTCCCAGGTTCAAGCAATCTCCTGCCTCAGCCTCCTGAGTAGCTAGGATTACAGGCACCCACCACTACGTCTGGCTAATTTTTGTATATTTAGTAGACTTGGGGTTTCACCATGTTGGCCAGGCTGGTCTCAAACTCCTGACCTCAGGTGATCTGTTTGCCTCGGCTTCCCAAAGTGCTGGGATTACAGGCATGAGCCACTGCACCTGGCAGCCTCTAGGATTTTGGAGCAAAGCCCTGCCATTTTCTGCAGATAACTACTCTCCTTTTGAGAGACAACTCTTGGCCTGTTACTGGGCTTTGGTAAAAACTGAACGTTTGACTATGTTTTATCAAGTCACTATGCGACCTGAACTGCCTATCATGAACTGGGTGCTTTCTGACCCATCTAACCACAAAGTGGGTCATGCACAACAGCATTCCATCATCAAATGGATGTGGTATATATGTGATCGGGCTTGAGCAGGTTCTGAAGGCACAAGTAAGTTACATGAGGAAGTGGCTCAAATGCCCATGGTCTCCATTTCTGCCACCCTGCCTTCTCTCCCCCAGCCTGCACTGATGACCTAATGGGGAGTTCCCTATGATCATTTGACAGAGGAAGAAAAGACTATGGCCTCATTTACAGACGGTTCTGTATAATATGAAGGCACCACCTGAAAGTGGACCCAGCTGTGGCGCTACAGTTCCTTTCTAGGACATCCCTGAAAGACAGTGGTGAAGGGAAGTCTTCCCAGTGGGCAGAATTTTGAGCAGTGCACCTGGTTGTGCACTTTGCATGGAAGGAGGAATGGCCAGATGTGTGATTACATACTGAATCATGGGCTTTAGCCAATGGTTTGACTGGATTGCCAGGGACTTGGAAGAAGCACCATTGAAAAATTGGTGACAAAGAAATTTGGGGAAGAGGTATGTGGATGGACCTCCTGAGTGGTCAAAAACTGTGAAGATATTTGTATCCCATGTGAGTGCTAACCAATGGGTGACCTCAGCAGAGGAGGATTTTGATAATCAAGTGGATAGGATGACCTGTTTTGTTGACATCACTCAGCATCTTTCCCCAGCTACCCCTGTCATTGCCCAATAGGTCCATGAACAAAATGGTCATGGTGGCAGAGACAGAGGTCACAAAGTGACAAAGTGCTGAATGAAATGGTGGTATACTTTGGAGTGACAATTTGGGTCTGCTGAGACCAGAGGTAAATGTTACAGCAGCAGAGAGACTGCAGTACCACAGACAGGGAACAGGTGTAGCAAGTGAAGACTATTAAGAAGAAAGATTAATAAACTTCTTTAACTAAAAAATAAACAACAAATTTCAGACAAGACACATCCTAAGAACATGTTTGAAAGACTCCCAGAATCTCTAGCAAAGACAATTGTTTTCAGACTATGCCAGGACAAAGCTACGTGATAAAGATTGTGACAGGTAGCTTTTTAAAAAATGTCCAAATATCAATCAAAGATTACAATGTATACAAAACAGGGCAATACATTCCCATCCAAAATATTATAAAATTTTCAGAAAAAAAACCTTAAAAAAGAAAATAAATTGGGCCGGGTGAGATGGCTCACACCTGTAATCCCAGCGGTTTGGAAGGCAGCGATGGGTGGATCACTTGAGCCTAGGAGACCAGCGTGGGCAACATGGCGAAACCCGGCCTCTACTAAAAATTTGTAACAATGCTGCAATTATTATGAGCATGTAAATAATTCTTCATATGAATATATATGTTAAATTTTATATATGTGCTGCATTGATTTTTATTAGTCTACATTTTTACTTTTATACTCACACCAAATTGTTTTAATTTTGTAGATTTGTAATGAGTTTTAAAATCAGGAACTGTAATGCCTTTAACATTATTTCTTTTTTTGAAGATTATTGGGTATTTTATTGTCTCATTAGATTCCATATACTTTTAGAGTTGCTGTGTCTATTTCTTCAAAATGTAGTGTGAACTTTTAAAGAACATTGCATTAAATCTGTAGTTTACATTGAACAGTATGGATATCTTCAAAATATTTATCTCAACCTTTGAACAGGAGCATGCTCATAGTGTGTTAATTTCTATATATTTATACTTTTTTCAGGTTTTTTTTTCTATTATTGTTTCATACTGTCACTTCATTTTGGTGATAGAAAGTAATCCATATAAATTTAGTTTTAAAAATTATGTTAAGACTTCTATTTTGGCCTAACAGGTGGTCTATCAAGCAGAATGTTTTATGAGCTGTTGGGAAGGCTGTGTATCCTGATATTGTTGAGGAGTGTTCTCTATACCTCTGTTAGGAATGATTGTTTTATACTTGTCTTCAAGTTCTCTGTTCTCTTACTATTATTCTGTCTGGTTTTATTTTTATTATACAAAATGGGGTATTGAAATATGCTACTGTAGGCTGGATGTGGTGGCTCATGCCTGTATTCCCAGCACTCTGGAAGGACAAGGCAGGCAGATCACAAGGTCAAGAGATCAAGACCATCCTGGCCAACATGGTGAAACCCTGTCTCTACTAAAAATACAAAAATTAGCTGGGGGTGGTAGTGCACGCCTGTTCTCCCAGCTACTCGGGAGGCTGAGGCAGGAGAATCACTTGAACCTGGGAGGTGGAAGTTGCAGTGAGCCAAGATCACACCACTGCACTCCAGCCTGGAGACAGAGCGAGACTCCGTCTAAAAAAAAAAGAAAAGAAAAGAAAAGAAATATGCTATTGTAACTATATTGTTCTCTATGTGTTTCTTCAATTCTGTCAATATTTGATTTATATATTTTGCAAGCCTAATGTGAGATACACATACACACACTTGCACAAAACACACACACACACAGATATACAAATTTGTTATAGGTTCCCAGTAAATAAATCTATTATTTTGTAATGGCTTGTTTTGTCTCTGTAGAGTTTTGACTTAAAAAAACATTTTATAAAATATGACGGTTTTTGACTTAAGATAGAGCTCAAGGCCAGGCGCAGTGGCTCACGCTTGTAATCCCAGCACTTTGGGAGGCTGAGGCGGGTGGATCACAAGGTCAAGAGATCGAGACTATATGGCCAACATGGTGAAAACCTGTCTCAACTGAAAATACAAAAATTAGCTGGCCATGGTGGCACGCGCCTGTAGTCCCAGCTACTTGGGAGGCTGAGGCAGGAGAATCACTTGGACCCAGGAGGCAGAGGTTGCAGTGAGCCAAGATCACACCACTGCACTCCAGCCTGGAAACAGAGCAAGACTCCATCTCAAAATAAATAAATAAATAAAGATACAGCTAAAGTAACATTATTTTTGTAGGGGCAACCCACCCCTACATCTGGTGCCCAACGTGGAGGCTTTTCTCTAGGGTGAAGGTACGCTCGAGCGTGGTCATTGAGGACAAGTCGACAAGAGATCCTGAGTACGTCTACAGTCAGCCTTACGGTAAGCTTGTGCGCTCGGAAGAAGCTAGGGTGATAATGGGGCAAACTAAAAGTAAAATTAAAAGTAAATATGCCTCTTATCTCAGCTTTATTAAAATTCTTTTAAAAAGAGGGGAAGTTAAAGTATCTACAAAAAATCTAATCAAGCTATTTCAAATAATAGAACAATTTTGCCCATGGTTTCCAGAACAAGGAACTTTAGATCTAAAAGATTGGAAAAGAATTGGTAAGGAACTAAAACAAGCAGGTAGGAAGGGTAATATCATTCCACTTACAGTATGGAATGATTGGGCCATTATTAAAGCAGCTTTAGAACCATTTCAAACAGAAGAAGATGGTATTTCAGTTTCTGATGCCCCTGGAAGCTGTTTAATAGATTGTAATGAAAACACAAGGAAAAAATCCCAGAAAGAAACCGAAAGTTTACATTGCGAATATGTAGCAGAGCCGGTAATGGCTCAGTCAACGCAAAATGTTGACTATAATCAATTACAGGAGGTGATATATCCTGAAACGTTAAAATTAGAAGGAAAAGGTCCAGAATTAATGGGGCCATCAGAGTCTAAACCACGAGGCACAAGTCCTCTTCCAGCAGGTCAGGTGCCTGTAACATTACAACCTCAAAAGCAGGTTAAAGAAAATAAGACCCAACCGCCAGTAGCCTATCAATACTGGCCTCCGGCTGAACTTCAGTATCGGCCACCCCCAGAAAGTCAGTATGGATATCCAGGAATGCCCCCAGCACCACAGGGCAGGGCGCCATACCCTCAGCCGCCCACTAGGAGACTTAATCCTACGGCACCACCTAGTAGACAGGGTAGTGAATTACATGAAATTATTGATAAATCAAGAAAGGAAGGAGATACTGAGGCATGGCAATTCCCAGTAACGTTAGAACCGATGCCACCTGGAGAAGGAGCCCAAGAGGGAGAGCCTCTCACAGTTGAGGCCAGATACAAGTCTTTTTCGATAAAAATGCTAAAAGATATGAAAGAGGGAGTAAAACAGTATGGACCCAACTCCCCTTATATGAGGACATTATTAGATTCCATTGCTCATGGACATAGACTCATTCCTTATGATTGGGAGATTCTGGCAAAATCGTCTCTCTCACCCTCTCAATTTTTACAATTTAAGACTTGGTGGATTGATGGGGTACAAGAACAGGTCCGAAGAAATAGGGCTGCCAATCCTCCAGTTAACATAGATGCAGATCAACTATTAGGAATAGGTCAAAATTGGAGTACTATTAGTCAACAAGCATTAATGCAAAATGAGGCCATTGAGCAAGTTAGAGCTATCTGCCTTAGAGCCTGGGAAAAAATCCAAGACCCAGGAAGTACCTGCCCCTCATTTAATACAGTAAGACAAGGTTCAAAAGAGCCCTATCCTGATTTTGTGGCAAGGCTCCAAGATGTTGCTCAAAAGTCAATTGCCGATGAAAAAGCCCGTAAGGTCATAGTGGAGTTGATGGCATATGAAAACACCAATCCTGAGTGTCAATCAGCCATTAAGCCATTAAAAGGAAAGGTTCCTGCAGGATCAGATGTAATCTCAGAATATGTAAAAGCCTGTGATGGAATCGGAGGAGCTATGCATAAAGCTATGCTTATGGCTCAAGCAATAACAGGAGTTGTTTTAGGAGGACATTTGGAGGAAAATGTTATAATTGTGGTCAAATTGGTCACTTAAAAAAGAATTGCCCAGTCTTAAATAAACAGAATATAACTATTCAAGCTACTACCACAACAGGTAGAGAGCCACCTGACTTATGTCCAAGATGTAAAAAAGGAAAACATTGGGCTAGTCAATGTCGTTCTAAATTTGATAAAAATGGGCAACCATTGTCGGGAAACGAGCAAAGGGGCCAGCCTCAGGCCCCACAACAAACTGGGGCATTCCCAATTCAGCCATTTGTTCCTCAGGGTTTTCAGGGACAACAACCCCCACTGTCCCAAGTGTTTCAGGGAATAAGCCAGTTACCACAATACAACAATTGTCTCCCGCCACAAGCGGCAGTGCAGCAGTAGATTTATGTACTATACAAGCAGTCTCTCTGCTTCCAGGGGTGCCCCCACAAAAAACCCCCACAGGGGTATATGGCCCCCTGCCTAAGGGGACTGTAGGACTAATCTTGGGACGATCAAGTCTAAATCTAAAAGGAGTTCAAATTCATACTAGTGTGGTTGATTCAGACTATAAAGGCGAAATTCAATTGGTTATTAGCTCTTCAATTCCTTGGAGTGCCAGTCCAAGAGACAGGATTGCTCAATTATTACTCCTGCCATATATTAAGGGTGGAAATAGTGAAATAAAAAGAATAGGAGGGCTTGGAAGCACTGATCCAACAGGAAAGGCTGCATATTGGGCAAGTCAGGTCTCAGAGAACAGACCTGTGTGTAAGGCCATTATTCAAGGAAAACAGTTTGAAGGGTTGGTAGACACTGGAGCAGATGTCTCTATCATTGCCTTAAATCAGTGGCCAAAAAATTGGCCTAAACAAAAGGCTGTTACAGGACTTGTCGGCATAGGCACAGCCTCAGAAGTGTATCAAA
This sequence comes from Homo sapiens, assembly GCF_000001405.40. Classification (NCBI taxonomy): domain Eukaryota; kingdom Metazoa; phylum Chordata; class Mammalia; order Primates; family Hominidae; genus Homo; species Homo sapiens. Next base: position 71,776 of record NW_003315965.1, read on the forward strand.
GTACGGAGATTTTACATTGCTTAGGGCCAGATAATCAAGAAAGTACTGTTCAGCCAATGATTACTTAAATTCCTCTTAATCTGTGGGGTCGAGATTTATTACAACAATGGGGTGCGGAAATCACCATGCCCGCTCCATTATATAGCCCCACGAGTCAAAAAATCATGACCAAGATGGGATATATACCAGGAAAGGGACTAGGGAAAAATGAAGATGGCATTAAAATTCCATTTGAGGCTAAAATAAATCAAAAAAGAGAAGGAATAGGGTATCCTTTTTAGGGGCGGCCACTATAGAGCCTCCTAAACCCATACCATTAACTTGGAAAACAGAAAAACCGGTGTGGGTAAATCAGTGGCCGCTACCAAAACAAAAACTGGAGGCTTTACATTTATTAGCAAATGAACAGTTAGAAAAGGGTCATATTGAGCCTTCGTTCTCACCTTGGAATTCTCCTGTGTTTGTAATTCAGAAGAAATCAGGCAAATGGCGTATGTTAACTGACTTAAGGGCCGTAAACGCCGTAATTCAACCCATGGGGCCTCTCCAACCCGGGTTGCCCTCTCCAGCCATGATCCCAAAAGATTGGCCTTTAATTATAATTGATCTAAAGGATTGCTTTTTTACCATCCCTCTGGCAGAGCAGGATTGTGAAAAATTTGCCTTTACTATACCAGCCATAAATAATAAAGAACCAGCCACCAGGTTTCAGTGGAAAGTGTTACCTCAGGGAATGCTTAATAGTCCAACTATTTGTCAGACTTTTGTAGGTCGAGCTCTTCAACCAGTTAGAGACAAGTTTTCAGACTGTTATATTATTCATTATATTGATGATATTTTATGTGCTGCAAAAACGAGAGATAAATTAATTGACTGTTATACATTTCTGCAAGCAGAGGTTGCCAATGCAGGACTGGCAATAGCATCTGATAAGATCCAAACCTCTACTCCTTTTCATTATTTAGGGATGCAGATAGAAAATAGAAAAATTAAGCCACAAAAAATAGAAATAAGAAAAGACACATTAAAAACACTAAATGATTTTCAAAAATTGCTGGGAGATATTAATTGGATTCGGCCAACTCTAGGCATTCCTACTTATGCCATGTCAAATTTGTTCTCTATCTTAAGAGGAGACTCAGACTTAAATAGTAAAAGAATGTTAACCCCAGAGGCAACAAAAGAAATTAAATTAGTGGAAGAAAAAATTCAGTCAGCGCAAATAAATAGAATAGATCCCTTAGCCCCACTCCAACTTTTGATTTTTGCCACTGCACATTCTCCAACAGGCATCATTATTCAAAATACTGATCTTGTGAAGTGGTCATTCCTTCCTCACAGTACAGTTAAGACTTTTACATTGTACTTGGATCAAATAGCTACATTAATCGGTCAGACAAGATTACGAATAATAAAATTATGTGGAAATGACCCAGACAAAATAGTTGTCCCTTTAACCAAGGAACAAGTTAGACAAGCCTTTATCAATTCTGGTGCATGGCAGATTGGTCTTGCTAATTTTGTGGGAATTATTGATAATCATTACCCAAAAACAAAGATCTTCCAGTTCTTAAAATTGACTACTTGGATTCTACCTAAAATTACCAGACGTGAACCTTTAGAAAATGCTCTAACAGTATTTACTGATGGTTCCAGCAATGGAAAAGCAGCTTACACAGGGCCGAAAGAACGAGTAATCAAAACTCCATATCAATCGGCTCAAAGAGCAGAGTTGGTTGCAGTCATTACAGTGTTACAAGATTTTGACCAGCCTATCAATATTATATCAGATTCTGCCTATGTAGTACAGGCTACAAGGGATGTTGAGACAGCTCTAATTAAATATCGCATGGATGATCAGTTAAACCAGCTATTCAATTTATTACAACAAACTGTAAGAAAAAGAAATTTCCCATTCTATATTACTCATATTCGAGCACACACTAATTTACCAGGGCCTTTGACTAAAGCAAATGAACAAGCTGACTTACTGGTATCATCTGCACTCATAAAAGCACAAGAACTTCATGCTTTGACTCATGTAAATGCAGCAGGATTAAAAAACAAATTTGATGTCACATGGAAACTGGCAAAAGATATTGTACAACATTGCACCCAGTGTCAAGTCTTACACCTGCCCACTCAAGAGGCAGGAGTTAATCCCAGAGGTCTGTGTCCTAATGCATTATGGCAAATGGATGTCACGCATGTACCTTCATTTGGAAGATTATCATATGTTCACGTAACAGTTGATACTTATTCACATTTCATATGGGCAACTTGCCAAACAGGAGAAAGTACTTCCCATGTTAAAAAACATTTATTGTCTTGTTTTGCTGTAATGGGAGTTCCAGAAAAAATCAAAACTGACAAGGGACCAGGATATTGTAGTAAAGCTTTCCAAAAATTCTTAAGTCAGTGGAAAATTTCACATACAACAGGAATTCCTTATAATTCCCAAGGACAGGCCATAGTTGAAAGAATAGAACACTCAAAACTCAATTAGTTAAACAAAAAGAAGGGGGAGACAGTAAGGAGTGTACCACTCCTCAGATGCAACTTAATCTAGCACTCTATACTTTAAATTTTTTAAACATTTATAGAAATCAGACTACTACTTCTGCAGAACAACATCTTACTGGTAAAAAGAACAGCCCACATGAAGGAAAACTAATTTGGTGGAAAGATAATAAAAATAAGACATGGGAAATAGGGAAGGTGATAACGTGGGGGAGAGGTTTTGCTTGTGTTTCACCAGGAGAAAATCAGCTTCCTGTTTGGATACCCACTAGACATTTGAAGTTCTACAATGAACCCATCGGAGATGCAAAGAAAAGGGCCTCCACGGAGATGGTAACACCAGTCACATGGATGGATAATCCTATAGAAATATATGTTAATGATAGTGTATGGGTACCTGGCCCCATAGATGATCGCTGCCCTGCCAAACCTGAGGAAGAAGGGATGATGATAAATATTTCCATTGGGTATCGTTATCCTCCTATTTGCCTAGGGAGAGCACCAGGATGTTTAATGCCTGCAGTCCAAAATTGGTTGGTGGAAGTACCTACTGTCAGTCCCATCAGTAGATTCACTTATCACATGGTAAGCGGGATGTCACTCAGGCCACGGGTAAATTATTTACAAGACTTTTCTTATCAAAGATCATTAAAATTTAGACCTAAAGGGAAACCTTGCCCCAAGGAAATTCCCAAAGAATCAAAAAATACAGAAGTTTTAGTTTGGGAAGAATGTGTGGCCAATAGTGCGGTGATATTACAAAACAATGAATTCGGAACTATTATAGATTGGGCACCTCGAGGTCAATTCTACCACAATTGCTCAGGACAAACTCAGTCATGTCCAAGTGCACAAGTGAGTCCAGCTGTTGATAGCGACTTAACAGAAAGTTTAGACAAACATAAGCATAAAAAATTGCAGTCTTTCTACCCTTGGGAATGGGGAGAAAAAGGAATCTCTACCCCAAGACCAAAAATAATAAGTCCTGTTTCTGGTCCTGAACATCCAGAATTATGGAGGCTTACTGTGGCCTCACACCACATTAGAATTTGGTCTGGAAATCAAACTTTAGAAACAAGAGATCGTAAGCCATTTTATACTGTCGACCTAAATTCCAGTCTAACACTTCCTTTACAAAGTTGCGTAAAGCCCCCTTATATGCTAGTTGTAGGAAATATAGTTATTAAACCAGACTCTCAGACTATAACCTGTGAAAATTGTAGATTGCTTACTTGCATTGATTCAACTTTTAATTGGCAACACCGTATTCTGCTGGTGAGAGCAAGAGAGGGCGTGTGGATCCCTGTGTCCATGGACCGACCGTGGGAGGCCTCACCATCCATCCATATTTTGACTGAAGTATTAAAAGGTGTTTTAAATAGATCCAAAAGATTCATTTTTACTTTAATTGCAGTGATTATGGGATTAATTGCAGTCACAGCTACGGCTGCTGTAGCAGGAGTTGCATTGCACTCTTCTGTTCAGTCAGTAAACTTTGTTAATGATTGGCAAAAAAATTCTACAAGATTGTGGAATTCACAATCTAGTATTGATCAAAAATTGGCAAATCAAATTAATGATCTTAGACAAACTGTCATTTGGATGGGAGACAGGCTCATGAGCTTAGAACATCGTTTCCAGTTACAATGTGACTGGAATACGTCAGATTTTTGTATTACACCCCAAATTTATAATGAGTCTGAGCATCACTGGGACATGGTTAGACGCCATCTACAGGGAAGATAAGATAATCTCACTTTAGACATTTCCAAATTAAAAGAACAAATTTTCGAAGCATCAAAAGCCCATTTAAATTTGGTGCCAGGAACTGAGGCAATTGCAGGAGTTGCTGATGGCCTCGCAAACCTTAACCCTGTCACTTGGGTTAAGACCATTGGAAGTACTACGATTATAAATCTCATATTAATCCTTGTGTGCCTGTTTTGTCTGTTGTTAGTCTGCAGGTGTACCCAACAGCTCCGAAGAGACAGCGACCATCGAGAACGGGCCATGATGACGATGGCGGTTTTGTCAAAAAGAAAAGGGGGAAATGTGGGGAAAAGCAAGAGAGATCAGATTGTTACTGTGTCTGTGTAGAAAGAAGTAGACATAGGAGACTCCATTTTGTTATGTACTAAGAAAAATTCTTCTGCCTTGAGATTCTGTTAATCTATAACCTTACCCCCAACCCTGTGCTCTCTGAAACATGTGCTGTGTCAACTCAGAGTTGAATGGATTAAGGGCGGTGCAAGATGTGCTTTGTTAAACAGATGCTTGAAGGCAGCATGCTCCTTAAGAGTCATCACCACTCCCTAATCTCAAGTACCCAGGGACACAAACACTGCGGAAGGCCGCAGGGACCTCTGCCTAGGAAAGCCAGGTATTGTCCAAGGTTTCTCCCCATGTGATAGTCTGAAATATGGCCTCGTGGGAAGGGAAAGACCTGACCGTCCCCCAGCCCGACACCCATAAAGGGTCTGTGCTGAGGAGGATTAGTAAAAGAGGAAGGAATGCCTCTTGCAGTTGAGACAAGAGGAAGGCATCTGTCTCCTGCCCATCCCTGGGCAATGGAATGTCTCGGTATAAAACCCGATTGTACATTCCATCTACTGAGATAGGGAAAAACCGCCTTAGGGCTGGAGGTGGGACCTGCGGGCAGCAATACTGCTTTGTAAAGCATTGAGATGTTTATGTGTATGCATATCTAAAAGCACAGCACTTAATCCTTTACATTGTCTATGATGCAAAGACCTTTGTTCACGTGTTTGTCTGCTGACCCTCTCCCCACAATTGTCTTGTGACCCTGACACATCCCCCTCTTTGAGAAACACCCACAGATGATGAATAAATACTAAGGGAACTCAGAGGCTGGCGGGATCCTCCATATGCTGAATGCTGGTTTCCCGGTTCCCCTTATTTCTTTCTCTATACTTTGTCTCTGTGTCTTTTTCTTTTCCAAATCTCTCGTCCCACCTTACGAGAAACACCCACAGGTGTGTAGGGGCAACCCACCCTTACATCTTTGACCTCTTCTGCTCTAATTTAATTAATATTTGCATAGAATATCTACATCCATCTTGCCACTATCAGTCTTTTTTATCATTAGATCTCTGATGACTCTATTATAGAAAGGCAAGTTGCATCTTGGTTTTTAAAATTATCTAATTCCTTTATTAAATGTATGTCTCTGAATTAAGTTCATTTTATATACATGTTTAAATAACTTTCTGAAACAGAAAGACTTAATAATGTTATTTTATTGTTTCATTTGATTGTTGTATCTTTGTCTCTAATTTTCTCTCTGTGTCTTCCTTTGTGTCGTTTTGATTTTTGTACTGATATGCTTTTACTTTTTCCTTATTTTGTTTTGCATATCTATACAGATTTTTTTTTTGTGATACCTTGTGGTACTTTGGAAATTACATAAAACTTCTAAAAGATATAACTACATTTTAACCTGGTAGAAGATGAACTTCAGTTGCATACAAAGATTTTACTCTCAAAATTTTCATTGTTTTCTAAATTTTTTTCAAATTATAGAAAATACTTAAAAATGTTTTCTGCACCATTATGATTATGCTAAGAAATTTCATTTTTTTGTATGTGAATATCTATCCAAGAAAATAATCCCCCCTTTTTTTTTTGGCCAGGCACAGTGGCTCATGCCTGTAATCCCAGCACTTTTGGAATCTGAGGTGGGCAGATCAGGAGGTTAGGAGTTCGAGACCAGCCTGGCCAACATGGTGAAATGCCCTCTCTCCTAAAAATACAAAAAATTAGCTGGGTGTGGTGGCGGACACCTGTGATCTCAGCTATTTGGGAAGCTGAGGCAGGAGAATCACATGAAACTGGAAGGCAGAGGTGGCAGTGAGCAGAGATCAGGCCACTGCACTCCAGCCTGGGAAACAAGAGTAAAACTCGGCTCAAAAAAAATATATATATACAAATACATATATATGTACACATACATATATATAATATACATACATATATATACACATATATATGCATTCATATATAGATATGATTATGTGTCATTTTCTTGAGTCATTTTATTTTCAATAAAAGAAACTCTTCAGCATTCTTTTTTTTTCCTTTTTTATTATTACACTTTAAGTTCTGAGATACATGTGCAGAATGTGCAGGTTTGTTACACAGGTATACACGTGCCATGATGGTTTGCTGAACCCATCAACCCATCATCTACATTAGGTTATTCTTCTAATACTATTCATCTCCTAGCCCCCCACCCGCTGACAGGTCCCAGTGTGTGATGTTCCCCTCCTTGTGTCCATGCATTCTCATTATTCAACTCCCACTTATGAGTGAGAACATGCAGTGTTTGGTTTTCTGTTCTTGTGTTAGTTTGCTGAGAATTATGGTTTCCAGCTTCATCCATGTCCCTGCAAAGAACATGAACTCATCCTTGTTTATGGCTGCATAGTATTCCGTGGTGTATATGTGCCACATTTTCTTTATCCAGTCTATCACTGATGGGCACTTGGGTTGGTTCCAAGTCTTTGCTATTGTGAATAGTGCTGCAACAAACATACGTGTGCATGTGTCTTTATAGTAGAATGATTTATAATCTTTCGGGTATATACCCAGTAATGGGATTGCTGGGTCAAATGGTATTTCTGATTCTAGATCCTTGAGGAATTGTCACATTGTCTTCCACAATGGTTGAACTGATTTACACTCCCCCCAACAGTGTGAAAGTGTTCCTATTTCTCCTCATCCTCCCCAGCATATGTTGTTTTCTGACTTTTTAATGATTACATTCTAACTGTTGTGAGATGGTATCTCATTGTGATTTTGATTTACATTTCTCTCATGACTAGTGACAGTGAGCTTTTTTTCATATGTTTGTTGGCTGCATAAATGTCTTCTTTTGAGAAGTGTCTGTTCTTATCCTTTGCCCACTTTTTGATGGGGTTGCTTTTCTCTTGTAAATTTGTTTAAGTTCTTTGTAGAGCCTGGATATTAGCCCTTTGTCAGATGGATAGATTGCAAAATTTTTCTCCCATTCCATAGGTTGCCTGTTCACTCTGATGATAGTTTCTTTTGCTGTGCAGAAGCTCTTGAGTTTAATTAGGTCCCATTTGTCAATTTTGGCTTTTGTTGCCATTGCTTTTGCTGTTTTAGTCATGAAGTCTTTGCCCATGCCTATGCCCTGAATGGCATTGCCTAGGTTTTCTTCTAGGGTTTTTATGGTTTGGGGTGTTACATTTAAGTCTTTAATCCATCTTGAGTTAATTTTTGTATATGGTGTAAGGAAGGGGTCCAGTTTCAGTTTTCTGCATATGGCTAGCCAGTTTTCCCAACACCATTTATTAAATTGGGAATCCTTTCCCCATTTCTTGTTTTTTGTCAGGTTTGTCAAAGATCAGATGGTTGTAGATGTGTGGTGTTATTTCTGAGGCCTCTGTTCTGTTCCATTGGTCTATATATCTGTTTTGATACCAATACCATGCTGTTTTGGTTACTGTAGCCTTTTACAATAGTTTGAAGTCAGGTACTGTAATGTCTCCAGCTTTGTTCTTTTTGTTTAGGATTGTCTTGGCAATGTGGACTCTTTTTTGGTTCCATATGAAATTTAAAGTAGTTTTTTCCAATGCTGTGAAGTCATTGGTAGCTTCATGGGGATGGCATTGGGTCTATAAATTACCTTAGGCAGTATGGCCATTTTCATGATATTGATTCTTCCTATCATGAGCATGGAATGTTCTTCCATTTGTTTGTGTCCTCTTCTATTTCATTGAGCTGTGGTTTGTAGCTCTCCTTGAAAAGGTCCTTCACATCCCTTGGAAGTTGTATTCCTAGTTATTTTATTCTATTTGTAGCAATTGTGAATGGGAGCTCAGTCATGATTTGGCTCTCTGTTGGTCTGTTATTGGTGTATAGGAATGCTTGTGATTTTTGCACATTGATTTTGTATCCTGAGACTTTGCTGAAGTTGCTTATCAGCTTAAGGAGATTTGGGGCGGAGATGATGGAGTTTTCTCAACATACAATCATGTCATCTGCAAACAGAGACAATTTGACTTCCTCTTTTCCTATTTGAATACTCATTATTTCTTTCTCTTGCCTGATTGTCCTGGCCAGAACTTCCAATACTATGTTGAATAGGAATGGTGAGAGAGGGCATCCTTGTCTTGTGCCAGTTTTCAAAGGGAATGCTTCCAGGTTTTGCCCATTCAGTATGACATTAACTGTGGTCTGTCATAAATAGCTTTTATTATTTTGAGATATGTTCCATCAATACTTAGTTTATTGAGAGTTTTTAGCATGAATGGGGTGTTGAATTTTGTTGAAGGCCTTTTCTGCATCTATTGAGATAATCACGTGGTTTTTGTCATGGGTTCTGTTTATGTGATGGATTACGTTTATTGATTTGTGTATGTTGAACCAGCCATGCATCCCAGGGATGAAGCTGACTGGATCATGGTGGATAAGCTTTTTGATGTGCTGCTGGATTCAGTTTGCCAGTATTTTATTGAGGATTTTCACATCAATGTTCATCAGGGATATTGGCCTGAAGTTTTCTTTTTTTGTTGTGTCTCTGCCAGCTTTGGTATCAGGATGATGCTGGCCCAAAATGAGCTAGGGAGGAGTCCCTCTTTCTCTATTGTTTGGAATAATTTCAGAAGAATTGGTACCAGCTCCTCTTTGTACCTGTGGTAGAATATGGCTGTGAATCTGTCTGGTCCCAGGTATTTTTTGGTTGGTAGGCTATTAATTACTGCCTCAATTTCAAAACTTGTTATTGGTCTATTCAGGGATTTGACTTCTTCCTGGTTTAGTCTTCAGAGGGTATGTGTCCAGGAATTTATCCATTTCTTCTAGATTATCTAGTTTTTTACATTGAGGTGTTTACAGTATTATCTGATGGTAGTTTGTATTTCTGTGGGATCAGTGCCAATACCCTCTTGATTATTTTTTATTGCATCTATTTGATTCCTCTCTCTTTTCTTCTTTATTAGTCTGGCTAGCAGTCTATCTATTTTGTAGATCTTTTCAAAAAACCAGCTCCTGGAATTATTAATTTTTTGAAGGGTGTTTTGTGTCTCTATCTCCTTCAGTTCTGCTCTAATCTTAGTTATTTCTTGTCTTCTGCCAGCATTTGAATTTGTTTGCTCTTGCTTCTCTAGTTCTGTTAATTGTGATTTTAGGATGTTGATTTTAGACCTTTCCTGCTTTCTCTTGTGAGCATTTAGTGCTATAAATTTCCCTCTAAGCACTGCTTTGTCTGTGACCCAGAGATTCTGGTACATTGTGTCATCATTCTTATTGGTTTCAAAGAACTTACTTATTTCTGCCTTCATTTCATTATTTCCCCAGTAGTCATTCTGGAGCATGTTGTTCTGTTTCCATGTAGTTGAGTGGTTTTGAGTGAGTTACTTATCCAGAGTTTTAATTTGATTGCACTGTGGTATGAGAGACTGTTTGTTATGATTTCCATTCTTTTGCATTTGCTGATGAGTGTTTTACTTCCAATTATGTGGTCAATTTTAGAATAAGTGGGATGCTTTTCAGCATTCTTTATAGGGCATATGCAGTGCCAGTATGCTCTTTCAAAATTTGGTTATTTTGAAAGGTTTTCCTCTTTTCATTTGGCAGGACAGATTTGCTGATGCTATTATTTGAACCTAAGGTAAAAGTAAAACAGGAAAATCCAAAAGTATATAAAAATTAAACACATGAGCTGGGTGCAGTGGCTCACCTCTGTAACCCGAGAACTTTGGGAGGCCGAGGCAGGTGGATTGCCTGACATCAAGAGTTTGAGACCAGCCAGACCAACATGGTGAAACCTCGTCTCTACTAAAAATACAAAAAAATGAGCCAGGCATGGTGGTGAGTGCCTGTAATCCCAACTATTCAGGAGGCTGAGGCAGGAGAATCACTTGAACCCAGAAGGTGGAGGTTGTGTTGAATTGAGATTGTGCCACTGCACTCCTGCCTGGATGACAGAGTGAGACTCTGTCTCAAAGGAAAAAAAAAAAAGCAAGATCCCTTCTCTCTCTAAATAAAATAAATAAATAAATAAAATAAAAATAAAACACTCTTTAACATATTCTTGCTCAAGAGTCAAAAAATTTAATTTTTTAAGATGTCAGTACAACCTACAGTGGTAAACAAATTTGTCGTAATTTCTATAAAATTCCTAATAGCACAGGATTTTTAAACAGAAATATTATTTAACATTTTAAAATTTGATTATTAACTATAACTAGCCAAACACCCATGAAATAGAGGAGGTAATAAACTTTCCCATTTCAAAACATATTAAAAGCTATAATGAAAACAATATAGTACTGACACAAAGACAGATAAACAGATGATAAATCAGAATAGAGAGCCCAAAAATGAACCCTTCTGTAAATAATGATCTTCCACAAAGCTGCCAGGAGCACACAATAGAGAAAAGATAATATCTTCAAAAATTAATGCTGAAAACTGAATATCTATACTGATAAAGCTGGATTCTTTCCTTGAACCATAGACAAAAAAATTTATATAAAATACTTAGATATAAAAAATAGCTAATAAGTGTCTTAAAAAAACATGGAGAAAAGACATGACATTGGCCTTGGAATCATTTTCTTAGATGACATTAAACGCATAAGCAACAATGAAAAGAACAGAAAAATTTAACTGAAATATACTTCAAAATTTTTGCACATCAAAAAAAACTTCAAGAGAGTGACAATGCCACTTAGGAAATCAATGAAAATATTTGCAAATCACATGTGATAGAAGTTAATATTCAGAATATATAAGCAACTCTTAAAACTGAACAATAAAGTTGAATAACAGGATTTAGAAATGGAAAACTAATTAAACTAAATTTTTATCAAAAGCATAAATGGGAAGAGCATTTGACAGGACTCACAAAATTACTAATTTGTAGAGGAATGCATAAATATCACAGTGAAATACAAAATAACCTGACACCCATTGGAACGGCCACTATCAATTTTTTAAGAAAACCAGATCTATTGGTGATGCTATGAAAATGAAACCTATGCTGATTGTTGGTGGAAAACAAAGATGCAGCCATTATTTTAAAATGTTATAAATGTTCCTCAGATAATTAAAAATAAAATTGTAATCAATTACAACAATCTTATTTATAAATTGATTTCCAAAGTATGCAACACAGAACCTGGAGGAGACATGTAAACATTTATGCTTATTGTACCAGATTTCACAAAAGCCAAAAGGCTGAAGTAATCTATATGTCCCTTGATTTATAAATACATCAAAAAATTTAACATACACATACATGGAATATCATTCAGCCTTAAAAGAGAAAATTTTGTCACATTTTAAGATAAACTTTGAAAATACTATGTCACATGAAATAAACCAGTAACAAAATGATGAATACTACATTACTTCATTTACCTGAGATAAGTTAAATAGCCAAACTCATAAAAACAGAAAGCTGAAAGATATTTGCCAAGGGCTGGAGAGAGGGTAAAATGGGCAGTTGTTACTTAGTGGGTATTGAGTATTAGTTTTACAAGATGTAAAACCTCTAGAAGCCTTTTGCATAACCAGGTGAATATACTTTAACGTGCCTGAAATCCACAGCTTTTTTTTTTGACAGAGGGTCTCACTTTGTCACCCAAACTGGTGTGTAGTGGCAAAATTATGGCTCACTTCAGCCTCAAACTCCCAGGATAAAGTACTCCTTTTCCCTTGATCTCCCAGGTTGCTGGAACCACAGGTGCACACCACCATGGCTTGTTATTTTAAAATTTTTTTGGATACAGCAGGTCTTTATATGTTTCCCAGGCTGATCTCAAACATTTGGGCTCAGGTGATCCTTCTGTTTTGACCTCTCGAATTTCTGGGATCACAGAGGTGAGCCACTACCATGCCTGGCCATAAAATGTACACTTAAATAGATTTTAGAGAATCAATTTTATGTTATCTGTTTTTACAAAAATTATTTTAGAAGAAAAACTAAATGAAGAATTATAAATCTTTTCTAGAATTACCTTCAAATCACAAAAGTGTTTCTCTCACACAAAGAAAATATATATTCATTATTAAACACAAGGCAAAAATAAGATTATTTCCACAACTACTCACTTAGACAAGATAAAACAACCACTGAAAATCAGCTAAGAAAGAATATATACAAGATAAGCCATAACCATAATTGGAGTCATATTTATAGATAAAAACACACAAATATATAATCTGATTGTGATAGACATATGGCTAATTTATTTCTCAATTAAACCCCACATTGACTTAAAGTGTACAAACAGAATTGCAAATTGTCTAGAATTATAATACGTAAAACAAAAAAAATTCACTGATATTAAGAAACTGATGCTAAAAAGCACACATATAGAACTGCAAAATAATAATAACAGAAATGTTTACTCATCAGATCTAGTATGCAACATTGATGTACCATTACAAAAATTTGTCTAGATAACTACAATATTTGACTGTGTCTGTGTACTCATGGAAGGCAGGTATTTTGAGTCATCGGCATGCACTGCATGGCAGTAAAACTTAAGAGAAATTGCAGTATAATCATAAATAGAAGATTCTAATGATAAGCTTTTAATAAATAAGCACTAAAGAAAACTAGAGGTAAATTTCATCGTTATATATGCTGTTCTTACACAATATATGCTACATATATTCTTAAAGAATATGTGCTATTCTTACACAAAATGAAACTGCTGTAATTTAACTTTAGAAGCAAAGAATAGTCTTACTTTGTTAAATTAAAAAAAAAGTCTGCAGAATATAATTAAAGCCTCTGATATATAAAACAATTATCAGGGAAGAACTTATTTTATTATTTAAATATAGGCTGAAGAAAGTGAATGGAAATCATATAATTCCTTTCTGCCTGCAGCAAACTTAAATTTATAACTAAATATTTTAGTAAATAAGGAATGCCTACTAATAATCTAATTTATTTCAGGCATAACATGTAAATTCTAACATATTATCCTAAATGTCTGAATCTAAAATAACAGAGAAATTTGAAATAGAAAATACAAAGTAAAAATGTATAGGGAGAGCGACATCAGTAAAATTAAAAAAAAAAAAAAAGGTGACCTATTTTCTTATCCCCCGACAGCAAGAAAACTGTGAGCCAGCCCTGACAAAAATGTGTTTATGAGAGATCCAGGCATCCTGGCTCATATCTGTAATGATAGCTACATAAGACATTCAGGTTGAAGAATTTCTTCAGGCCAAGATTTCAAGACCAGCCTGTGTTATGTAGAAAGACTTCATCTCTAAAACAAGTACCTTCAAAAGAGCTTTGAGATCCAGGGACGGAGTTGTGAAACTCTGCTAAAGCCCAAGATTGAGGAACATTCTTTTCAGGAGACAGGCTTCCACTAAGGTGGCAAACTACAGGATTTCTGTTCTTGGCCACAACCCAAAAAATAGCCAACTCAACTTGCTCCCACTGAGAATTCTGAACTTATCCTATAACCATTCCAAACTCCTCCCAGCCACAGCCTGGGAGAGCTCCTGCCCTTCCAGAGGCCTGGAGGAAGACACCCATTTGTAGCCATACAGTTTAATGTTTTAGTTCTAACTCCAATCCACAGTTTATGGCCAATTCTGCCTAGGTAGAATCCCACACAGTGACCTGGGAAGACCCTCTCTAGTACTTGGTGAAAGGCATCCTCATCCACATCCTGATGTAAGCCCCACCATATGCAGATCTGACTGCAACAACTTCCCCTAGTGTCTGCTCTACAGATGAAAGTCCTGAAGGATATTCAATCTGTTCAATAATAAAATGGGAATTACAACTACCCAAGCCTTTTGTAACAAGCCAACTAAAGGTAAATCCTATGCAGACGCAGCTGCTTTGCTGCGTCTACCACCTCTCTCTATTACAAATAAAGAGGACATCCTATAAATATGGGGGCCCAACAGAAGATTTTTACCCCTTGTAACCAGGTTATATAAACTTGAACAGGCTTTTGCTCCACGAAATTTACAAAAACCAATGCAATGCAAAACTATATTGTCCCCATTGTCAATGCTTCTACTTTAACATAAACCTGGAAGTACATGGCAGAAGAACTAGGCAAAAAAATTGTTTAAAGCCATTGAAATTGAAGACAAATAAATAAAAAGTTGCTGTTTGCAAATCATTTAATCTTATATATTAAAAAAAACATAAACAGTACATTTAAGGCCAGGCACAGTGGCTCACACCTGTAATCCCAGCACTTTGGGAGGCCGAGGCAGGCAGATCACCTGAGGTCAGGAGTTTGAAACCAGCCTGGCCAATATGGTGAAACCTTGTTTCTACTAAAAAACACAAAAATTAGCCATGCGTGGTGGCAGGTGCCTGCAGTCCCAGCTACTCGGGAGTCTGAGGCAGGAGAATCACTTGAGCCAGGAGGTGGAGGTTGCAAGTGAGCCAAGATCACACCACTGCACTCCAGCTTGGGCGACAGAGTGAGACTCCATCTCAAAGAAAAAAAAATATATTTTAGCCTAAAATGTTAGTTCTGTGCTTCAGAAGTATAAATTTTCTTGTTTCACCTAAGTTGTCCCTTAAGAAATGCAATGAGAGAGACAACAACATAAAAATATTGGGGGACTTTTTTACTTTACTTACAGCATTAGACATATCATCAAGACAGAAAGTCAAATGAACAAACAAACAAACAAACAAAAAACAATGGTCTTAAACTACACCTTAGAACAAATGGACTTAACAGAGATTTACAGAATATTCTACCCAACAACTGCAGAATATACATTCTTTTCATCAGCACATAAAACATTCGTCAAGATAGACCATATAATAGGCCAAAAGACAAGTCTGATGTTTTTTTTTTTGTGACAGTCTTGCTCTGTCACCAAGGCTGGAGTGCAATGGTGCAATCTCAGCTCACAGCAACCTCTGCCTCCCAAGTTCAAGGGATTCTCCTACCTCAGCCTTCTGAGTAGCTGGGATTACAGCCACGTGCCACCATGCCTGCCTAATTTTTGTATTTTTAGTAGCGATGGGGTTTCACCATGTTGACCAGGCTGGTTTTGAACTCCTGACCTCAGGTTATCCACCTGCCTTGGCATCCCAAAGTGCTGGGATTAAAGCATGAGCCACCATGCCCAGCCCCTGAATACATTTAAGAATATTAAAATTATATCAAGTACTGTCTTAGGCCACAGTGGAATAAAATTAGAAATCAATTCAAATAGGAACACTCAAAACCATACAAATACATGAAAATTAAATAAACTGCTCATGAATAATTGGTTCCACAATGAAATCAAGATGGAAATTAAATAATTATTTAAATTGAATAATAGTGACACAACATATTAAAACATCTGGGATATAGCAAAAGCAGTGCTAAGAGGAAAGTTCATAGCATTAAATACATACATCAAAAAGTTCAAAAAACCACAATAAACAACCTGAGATTGTTTAGCCTCAAGGAACAAGAGAAACAAGAACAAACCAAACCCAAACCCAGCAGGAAAAAAAAATAATAACAAAGATCAGAGAAGAACTAAATAAATTTGAAATTTTAAAAAATATAAAAGATAAAACAATAAGCTAGTTATTTGAAAAGATAAATCCAACTGATAGACTATTAGTAAGATTAACCCAGAAAAGCAGAAAGAAGATCCAAATATGCTCAATTAGAAATAAAAGATCATTCAAAGCTGCTACGAATACCTTTACATGCTCAAACTTGAAAACCTAGAGGAGTTTGATAAATTCCTGGAAATATACAACCCTCCTAGATTAAATCAGGAAGAAATAAAAACTCTGAACACACCAATAACAAGTAGCAAGATTAAACTAGTAATAAAACATTGCCAGCTGGGTTCAGTGGCTCATGCCTGTAATCCTAGCACTTTGGTAGGACGAGGTGGGGGGATCACTTGAGGTCAGGTGTTTGAGACCAGTCTGATCAACATGGCAAAACCCCATCTCTACTAAAAATACAAAAATTAGCCAGGTATGGTGGTTTGTGCCTGTAATCCCAGCTACTTGGGAGGCTTAGGCAGGAGAATCACTTAAACCCAGGAGGCAAGTTTGCAGTGAGTCAACATCGCACCACTGCACTCCAGCCTGGGTGACAGAGCAAGACTCAAGAAAAAAAAAACAAAAAAACTGCCAACAAAAAACGTCCAGGACAAGATGGATTCATAGCTCAATTCTATCCAAAATTCAAAGAATTGGTACCAGTCCTACTGAAACTATTCCAAAAGATAGAGAAAAAGGGAATCCTTCCTAAATTATTCTATGAAGCCAGTATCACTCTAATACCAAGATCATGAAAAGACATAATAAAAGAAAACTACACACCAATGTTCCTGATGAGCATAAATGCAAAAATCTTCCATAAAATACTAGCTAACCAAACACAGCAACATATTAATAAGATAGTACACCATAATCAAGAACATTTTATGCCAGGGATGCAGAGATGATTTAACATAGGTAAGTCAATACATGTTATACACCAAATAAACAGAATTAAAACCAAAAATTATATGATTATCTCAATATATGCAGAAAAATCATTTGGCAAAATCCAGCATCACTTTATGATTAAAATCCTCAGCAAAATCGGGATAGAGGGAACATATTGTAAGGTCATAAAAACCATCTATGACAGGCTGGGCGTGGTGGCTCATGCCTGTAATCCCAGCACTTTGGGAGGCTGAGGTGGGCAGATCACTTGAGGTCAGGAGTTTGAGATCAGCTTGGCCAACATGGTGAAACCTCGTCTGTTCAAAAATACAAAAATTAGCCAGGCATGATGGTGGGTGCCTGTGGTGCCAGCTACTGGGGAGGCTGAGGCGGGAGAATCGCTTGAGTCTGGGAGGTGGAGATTGCAGTGAGCAGAGATCCTGACATTGCACTCCAGCCTGGGTGACAGAGCGAGACTCCATCCGAGAAAAAAAAAAAATCTATCTGTGATAAACAGCCAACATTACACTGAACAGGAAAAAGTTGAAAGGATTTTTTCTGAGAACTGGAACAAGACAATAATGCCCACTCTCACCACTTCTATTCAACACAGTAATGGATGTCTTAGCCAAAGCAATCAGAGTAAAGCAAAAAATAAACAGAATCTAAATTGGTAAAGAGGAAGTCAAATTGTCACTGTTTACCAATGATATAATTGTGTACCTGGGAAACCCTAAAACTCAACTAAAAAAGCTTTTAGGGCTGGATGCAGTGGCTCAAGCCTGTAATCCCAGCACTTTGGGACATGGAGGCAGGTGGATCACTTGAGGTCAGGAGTTCAAGACCAGCCTGGCCAACATGGTAAAACCCCATCTCTACTAAGAATACAAAAATTAGCCGGTTGCAGTGGCAAGTGGCTGTAATCCCAGCTACAAGGGAGGCTGAGACAGGAGAATCACTTGAACCTGGGATGCAGAGGGTGCAGTGAGCCAAGATCATGCCACTGCACTCCAGCCTGGGTGACAGAGTAAGACCTTGTCTCAAAAAGAAAAAAAAACAAAACAAAAAACTTTTCGATCTGATACATAAATGCAGTAAAATTTCAGGATACCAAAAAAAAAAAATCCTAAAACTAAAAAAAAAAAAATCCTAAAATTTATATAAAATAAAAAGAGAGCCTCCATAGTCAAAGCAAGACTAGGAAAACAAAACAAAACAAAACAAAACAACAAAATCAAAAACACACAAAAAAATCTGAAGACATCACGTTATCTGACTTCAAACTATACTACAAGGTTATAGTTACCAAAACAGCATTGTATGGGTATAAAAATAGATATGAAGACCAATGAAACAGAATAGTGAAACCAGAAATAAACCCAAATACTTACAGTCAACTGATCTTTGACAAAGTAAACAAAGATATGAAGTGGGGAAATAACACCCTATTCTATTGAATAGAATGGTACTGGGATAATTGGGAAGCCACATATTGAAGAATAAAACTGGATCTTCGGCTGAGTGCAGTGGCTTATACCTGTAATCCCAGCACTTTGGGAGGTCAAGGTGGGTGGATCACGAGGTCAGGAGTTCAAAACCAGCCTGGCCAAGATGGTGAAACCCCGTCTCTACTAAAAATACAAAAAAAAAAAAAAAAATTTAGCTGGGTGTGGTGGCAGGTGCCTGTAATCCCAGCTACTTGGGAGGCTGAGGCAGAGAATTGCTTGAACCCGGGAGGCAGAGGTTGTAGTGAGCCGAGATCATGACACTGTACTCCAGCCTGGGAACAGAGCGAGACTCCGTCTCAAAAAAATAAAAATAAAAAAAAAGTATCTTCATCTCTCACCTTATACAAAAATCAACTCAAGATGGATCAAATACTTTAATCTAAGACCTGAAACTACCCGAATTCTAAAGCATTGAAAAAACTCTCCTAGGCATTGACTTAGGCAAAGAGTGCATGACCAAGAACCTCAAAGCAAATGCAACAAAAACAAAGACAGATGGGACTTAAACAATTCTCAAAAGAAGATATACAAATGGCCAACAAACATTAAAAAAAAATGCTGAACATCACTAATGATTAATGATTAGGGAAATACAAATCAAAACCACAATGTGATATCACCTTACTCTTGCAAGAATGACCATCATTGGCTGGGCATGGTGGCTCATGCCTGTAATCCCAGCACTCTGGGAGACCAAGACGGGTGGATCACCTGAGGTCAGGAGTTCCAGACTAGCCTGGCCAACATGGTAAAACCTCACCTCTACTAAAAATACAAAAATTAGCAGGGCGCGATGGAGTGTGTCCGTAATCCCTGCTACTCCAGAGGCTGAGGCTGGAGAATTGCTTGAACCCGGGAGGTGGAGGTTGCAGTAAGCCAAGATCGCACCACTGCAGTCCAGTCTGTGTGACAGACTCCATGTCAAAAACAAACAAACAAACAAACAAACAAACAGAAAAGACCATAATTAAAACATCAAAAAATAGGCCAGGCACGGTGGCTTATGCCTGTAATCACAGCAAACTCCATCTCAAAAAAAAAAAAATGAAAAAAGAACTAGGGGATACAAACCCAAATATTGTATTTCCTCACTTATAAACGGGAGCTAAGCTATGAAGATGCAAAGGCATAACAATTATGTAATGGGGATGGGCACGGTGGCTCACGCCTGTAATCCCAGCACTTTGGGAGGCTGAGGTGGGCGATCACCTGAGGTTGGGAGTTCGAGACAAGCCTGACCAACATGGAGAAACCCTGTCTCTACTAAAACTACAAAATTAGCCGGGCATGGTGGCACATGCCTATAATCCCAGATACTCGGGAAGGCTGAGGCAGGAGCATCGCTTGAACCTGGGAGGCAGAGGTTGCGGTGAGCTGAGATCGCGCCACTGTACTCCGGCCTGGGCAATAAGAGCGAAACTCTGTCTCAATAAATAAATATAATTAAAAAAAAGAATTATATAGTGGACTCTGGGCACTCAGTGGGAAGGGTAGGAGAGGGGGTGAGGGATGAAAGACTACACATTGGGTAGAGTGCACACTGCTTGGGAGATTGGTGCACCTAAATCTCAGAAAAGATTTAGGAACTTATCCATGTAACCAAATACTACATGTACCCCAAAACTATTGAAATATAATAATTTAAGACAAAAATAAAAACCCCCAAACTCCCATAAGTTTAAGTTTATATGTTTTGGCTTTTTTTTTTTTTTTTAGAAAGAGTCTCACTCTTGTCACCCAGAATGGAGTGCAGTGGCTTGATCAGGGCTCACTGCAGCCACAACCTCCTGGGCTCAGGCAATCCTCCTACTTTAGCCCCCGAATAGCTGGTACTACAGGGTGAGGCTACCATGCTAAATTAGCTGGGTGTGGTGGTGGGCGCCTGTAATCCCAGCTACTCGGGAGGCTGAGGCAGGAGAATCGCTTGAACCCAGAGAGGGAGGTTGCAGTGAGCTGAGATCATGCCATTGCACTCTAGCCTGGCAAGACTCGTCTCAAAAAAAAGCTTAAGGTTGTTTCAAGTTAAAAAAAAAAGGCTATTAAAATAAAATAGAAAAAGTTATATATGAGATTGTAAAATATATATGAAAATCTAGAGTGTTCAAAAATGACAAATTTCATGGATTTATTTATAAGGTTTTACTAACATTAGGTTTAGCTTTTTTGTTGTTTTGTTTTTTGAGATGGCGTTTCACTCTTGTTGCCCATGTTTTTGAGCTGGCGTTTCACTCTTGTTGCCCAGGCCGCAGTGCAATGGCTTGATCCTGGCTCACTGCAATCTCCACCTCCCGGGTTCAAATGATTCTCCTGCCTCAGCCTCCTGAATAGCTGGGATTACAGGCGCCCACCACCACACCTGACTAATGTTCGTATTTTTAGTAGAGAAGGGGTTTCACCATGTCAACCAGGCTGATCTTGAACTTCTGACCTCCGGTGATCCACCCGCCTCGGCCTCCCAAACTGATGGGATTAAAGGCGTAAGCCACTGCACTCAGCCTTTAGTATTGATAATACACTATTACTAAAGTAAAAATTGATTTACTCTTGTACAAAAGTTTTATGTATTATTAACATGACAGTAAAATATATTTGTTCACATTTCAAATACATTTAAAAAGAGAGAATAAAGAAGAGATAGAATTTTCCCATGCTCTGGGGTAGGCCTGGCTCAGCTCAGGGAGGAAGCCCTGCCTGAAAAGGCTGCAGCCTACGTTGGCTCTCTTTCTTCATTCAGCCCAGCATCTGATCACATCTTCTGTCACTCAGGGCCTGAAAGGGCGGGGCCTTAAACATTATCCAATCAGGGATGCTGGGCTGGGAATGTCCAATCAGGCAGGCAGCTGGGGGGGGACAGGTCGGCTTCCGGGATGTGGTCGGTCCTTTGTCTCTCGCTGCAGCCGGAGGTAAAGGCCTTGTCCTTACTGCTCCTAGAGTCCCAGCCTCTGTGGCCCTATGACCTGCAGGTATTGGGAGATCCACAACTAAGTCGCCAGGACCCCCTGGAAGCCTAGAAATGGTGAGTGTGCCGGGTCCGACACACTGAGAGAGTGGCCTGGGCTGGTTGGAACCGGCGGGAAGTGGCTGTGGCGGGACTCAAGCCTACCCGCAGTCAGCTCCACAAGTTCTCCTTGCCTAGCTCGACCTCAGTCCCCTTCAGCCATAAGATGGCGGCTGCGCGGGCCGCCGGGCGTCCTGTCTCTTCCCTGCGCTGTGATTGTGCCCTGGCCTGGAGCCCTCTTGGGGCAGCTCTGCACCCTCAGCGCGGAGTCTCTCCCAGATTGTGCACGGACTGTGGGAGGGTAGTCAGAGGAGAATCCTGACTTGAGGTGTGGGTTCATGAATGGGAAGAGCTTTGGTCCGTGAGGCTCCCAGTTCCTGTATTCTCCCATTAAAAATTTATGGAAGTCGCCGAAAAAATATTAAATAATTTAAGAGTGATTCCAAAATTGTAGAGCACCCAACTATGGATTGTAGTTTATGGTCTATTGAAGGGGTTTGATGGAAAGAGTTTTATAAGGTGCATAATGAAGAAAACCACATTCAATAATTGGTTAGGTACAGTTATGTAGTTTCCTGGTTTTTTTTTTTGTTTTTTTTTGTTTTTTTTTTTTGAGATGGAGTCTCGCTCTGTCGCCCAGGCTGGAGTGCAGTAGCGGAATCTTGGCTCACTGGAAGCTCCGCCTCCCGGGTTCACGCCATTCTCCTGCCTCAGCCTCCCGAGTAGCTGCGACTGCAGGTGCCCGCCAACACCCCCGGCTAATTTTTTGGTATTTTTTAGTAGAGACGGAGTTTCACCGTGTTAGTCAGGGTAGTCTCGATCTCCTGACCTCATGATCCACCCGCCTCAGCCTCCCAAAGTGCTGGGATTATAGGTGTGAGTCATGGCGCCCAGCCTCATGGTTTCTTAATTTGTAACATGAAGATGGAAATTTCTTGGTTATGTAATCAGAGGTTAATTGGCAGTTTATAGTGTGTTAAGCCTGAATTTTTTTCCCCCAATGTAGTAATTTAAAAAAAATACATTTGAATTAGATTTTTTTTTTTTTTTTTTTGAGACCAAGTCTCACTTTGTCGCCCAGGCTGGAGTGCAATGGCGCCATCTAGGCTAACTGGACTCTCCGCCTCCCAGGTTCAAGCGATTCTCCTGCCTCAGCCTCCCAAGTAGCTGGGATTACAGGCATGTGCCACTTGTATTTTTAATAGGGACGGGGTTTCACCGTGTTGGTCAGGCTGGTCTCGAACTCCTGATTTCAAGTGATCCACCCGCCTCGGCCTCCCAAAGTGCTGGGATTACAGGTGTAAGCCGCCACGCCTGGCCGAATTAGATTTTTTAAAAGTAGAAATTAGGAAATAGAGCCTCCTCAGTCTAACTACCAGCCACTTAATTATTTTCACACCCCACAGGGAACTGCTGTTTCCTTGCATTTTTCACATGTGTCCCAAGCAGGGCCTCAAGTCTATCTGCCACCCCCTATTTCTCCAGCCTGACTCTGACTTGCAGTAAAATACTTAATTTCCAGTTCCTTCTGACATTCCCAAATGCCAATTTCCCCTCCCTTATTCACATGATCAACTATTTGTCCTTTAGTGTACATTTTGATACCTATTGTAATCATTTTTTGACAAAGCATTTGATGGCACATATAAAAAGATTTGTTTTCTGTTTGTAAATGTTTTTTTCTTCTAGTTTCCCTAGACACAGATATCTTATCAGAATGTTTTTTGGGTCAGGGTTTCCCTTTGGAAAAGTTATAGGGAGACGTGTCCTCAGCCACCCTTCAGTTTTTTCCTTGGACCTGAGATTCAGTACTGTCTGGGGAAAAACCAAGATACTGGCCATGGCTGTGTCTGCAAGAGTATCTAGTGAATATCAGCTCCTGGGTCATTTTCTCCCATAAGACAACCAGAGATATGGAGTGTAGCCTCTCATCTCCCATAAGACAACCAGAGGTATGGAGTGTAGCCTCTCATCTCCCATAAGACAACCAGAGGTATGGAGTGTAGCCTCTCATCTCCCATAAGTCAACCTGAGGTATGGAGTGTAGCCTCTTATCTTTCATAAGACAACCTGAGGTATGGAGTGTAGCCTCTCATCTCCTGTAGGACAACCCGAGGTATGGAATGTAGCCTTTCAGGAGAGCAGGTGAATGCCCTGGGGCTGAGAGGCATCTACTGGTGCCCTGTTTTTTTGGAAAGCTAACCCCTTGAGGTATTAGTATTGTCTTTACCCAACCCAGCTTCCATTTCTTGGAGACACATTGCCGTTCAGACAATCAGATGCCGGTATTGAAGGGAAAACCAAAATAATTTTTGCCTCTGGATTCTCCTAGGGGACAGAAAAATAGTGAAAGAAAAATGGTAAAAAGTTTGTGGAAAAAAATAGCACTCCAAAGACAAAGAAAAAGAAACTGACCCCAGTGAGATGGTGCAAGAACTTGCAAAGTAAAATGTACCTGGGGCACTCACTGGGGCATAGTTCAGAGTCTCCTGAGAGAATGATTATTGAGCACTTAAGTGAACAGGATGGGGTGGCTGAATCTCTCAGTAATTGGATGACCTGACTTGACACATGAATCAGACATATCTCTACCTTGAAACGATTAAATGATTTGTTCACTTATTTTGACCTTAGTTTTTTTTCTTCTTCTTTTTTTTTGAGATGGAGTCTCCCTCTGTCGCCCAGGCTGGAGTGCAGTGGCATGATCTCTGCTCACTGTAACCTCCGCCTCCCGGATTAAAGCAATTCTTCTGCCGCAGCCTCCCAAGTAGCTGGGACTACAGGCGTGCACCCACATGCCTGGCTAATTTTTGTATTTTTGGTAGAGATGGAATTTCACCATATTGCCCAGGCTGGTCTCGAACTCTTGACCTTGTGATCCACCCACCTTGGCCTCCCAAAGTGCTGGGATTACAGACGTGAGCCACCGCACACGGACTTTTTTGTTTTAGACAGTGTTTTCCTCTGTCGCCCAGGCTGGAGTGCGGTGGTGCAATCTCGGCTCACTGCAACCTCTGCATCCCAAGTTCAAGTGATTCTCATGCCTCAGCCTCCCAAGCAGCTGGGACTACAGGTGCCCACCACCACACCTGGCTACTTTTTGTATTTTTAGTAGAGATGGGGGTTCACCATGTTGGCCAGGCTGTTTGAGCTCAAAATTCTGACCTCAAGTAATCTGCCTGCCTTGGCCTCCCAAAGTGCTGGGATTGCAGGTGTGAGCCACTGTGCCCGGCTGACCTCAGTTTTTTAACTGTAAATTGCATCTTATTAGTAGGGCTTGAAAGGTAAGAAAATATTTACAAAGGGCATAAAAAGGTGAGTATCAAAAAATAATATCTAATTATATATTTCATTTGTTGAAAATTCTCATTCACCTTTTTCTTTCTCAGAGTGAATTTAGGAGTTTTCTCAGGTGTGGTTTTCTTTTCTTTTCTTTTCTTTTTTTTTTTTTTTTTGAGACAGAATCTCGCTCTGTCACCCAGGCTGGAGTGCAGTGGTGGGATCTCGGCTCGCTGCAAGCTTCGCCTCCCAGGTTCACACCATTCTCCTGCTTCAGCCTCCCAAGTAGCTGGGACTACAGGCACCCGCCACCACACCCAGCTAATTTTTTTGTATTTTTAATAGAGACGGTGTTCATGTTAGCCAGGATGGTCTTGATTTCCTGACCTCATGATCCACCTGCCTCGGCCTCCCAAAGTGCTGAGATTACAGGTGTGAGCCACTGCACCCTGCCCTCAGGTGTGCTTTTTATAGCTGAGTGATTTCAAACAATTCCATCTAGCTTTTGGAATGTTTGGGAAAAAAATAAGAACATTTTTTCTTCCGTTTTGGCTATAGAGAATTAATATATTTCCACAAGAAAATGTGGTAGATAATTGGTGAGTTACATAGATTCGTGAAAACATCAGTTTCTTTTTTTGCAGGGTAAATTTGCAAAAGTAAGTATCTTTGTTCTATATCCTGTTATTTTGATTTCTGAGTTTAATGGTAAATTTTATGTGATGAAACTAGGTACCTCCTAGAAGTGTTCCCATATAACTGTTTACCTCATGATTTTTAATACAAAAAATAAAATAATGCTTTATTGTCCAAAAGAAATAAATACATTTGCTTCTCTTACTGAGGTACAAAAGATAAGCACCTTAAAATTTTCTTATATGAACACTGTTTTTGAATCATTTTGCTGGATTTTTCAAACACTTAGTTTCAAAAACTAAGTGAATGACTCTGACATGTAATTAAAGCTTGAGCCCAATGACTGCAAGCTAAGGTTAATTTTGAGCTAGCAAACGGAGGTTATTAAAGGCCCATTTAGTTCCTTCTGGAAAGCCTTTCCTGCAGATGTCCCAGCCTGCTTACCGCAGCCATGGAAGAAGCCTCTATAGTGAGAGAAGCTACAGAGCCCTGGAAAGCTGGGGCCCCACAGGCAGATGCAGTTAAGGTTAAGATAGAAGGGGTTTGGGAGTGTCTTATTGAAGATAAAATTGTTACTGTTTTGAGGCAGTTTTGAGAGGTTTTAAAATAACCAGCTAGATGTACATTAAAAAAAAAAAAGAATTCCAAAGGAGTATTGCAACAGGAGGAAGTACCAACTATAAGATCTTTAAGGATTATAAAGATTAGGTAGAAAAGGCCTTTTTTTCCTAGAGAAAACAAATAAGATTAGAAAGAAGGTGAGGGGAATATTTAAATGAAGGGTGAAATAATCAGATTTTAGATCAGAGAATGTTTTACCCTGAAGTCAGTGTGTTCTTAGGAGTGTTCTTCAGACACTGAATCTGCAGTAGCATAAAATGAGGTTGTATGGTGGCTCGGACTGAGAGTAGCTCAGAGTTCAGGAGCCTGTGGGAAGAAAATAAGTGAAGTTTGATTAAGAAGTATTTTATGTTGACCACTGAAGACAAATACAGCTGATTTTTTTAACGAGAAAAGAAAATATGCAGAGTGTTTTCCTGGCTGTGTAGTAGGTAAGAAAAGAGAGCACCATCTAAGTCACAATGGGAAGGGTGTTTCTTTTCATAAGTGTTCCTGGAGAACACAGAGGATAGAGAATTTTATTAATCCTAGCTGTTTGTTATCTATATGCTTCATCTTTTCCCACCTTTTTTCTTGGTTCTATACTTTTCTTCCATTTGACTTTTTGGGGGTTGTATATTTTATTTGAATCCAGTGAATATAACTACAGTGTTCTGCTGAGTTCTGTGAGTAGCTGTATCAGATTACTGAATTTCAAAAAGGTTATGGGAGTCCCCAATTTTTAAACAGTAGGTCAGAAGCATAGATGAGCCCATGGGGTTTGTGACTGGCATCTGCAGTGAGGACAATGTTGTGGGACTGAGCCCTGAATCAGGGTCTGTGCTGACTCTGGGTGGTGTCAGAATTCAAGTGTTAGACAATGAGTTGCTGTTGGAGAATTGTTGGTGTTCATCAAACTCTGCAGATTTGG
The DNA here is from genome assembly GCF_000001405.40 of Homo sapiens. Lineage (NCBI taxonomy): Eukaryota > Metazoa > Chordata > Mammalia > Primates > Hominidae > Homo > Homo sapiens. Next base: position 98,688 of record NW_003315965.1, read on the forward strand.
TGCCAGAAGAAAGATATCACAGACTCCTGGCCTAGAATGAAACTCCGGGTGTCTGGGAATGGGAAGCTCTGCTCTCCTCTACACAGGCTGTCACACTGCCCCTTGTTCTTTGATTCCAGGTCTCCTCCCAGGGTGACAGAAGACTGAAAACTTAAAGGAGATCTGATGACAAACCCCCTTTTGCCACAGCTGCCAGCAGAGGATTTCCACCCACTCACAAACACCCACTAGACATTGATGTGTCCACACCCCTCTCTGGACAAGGCACCACCCTCAGGAATTTTACCACAGCATTTTTGATCCTAGTGGTTTTTTTGGCCAAAAACCTACAAAAGTGTCTACAAGTCTCCTGGCATATCCCTATTTTCAGACACGGAATCTGCAGTAGCATCCTGTTTTCTCCACCAGCCTAGGATTCATAATCTTATCTGGCTGCATGGACCCAGAAATGAATCAGAGTACAGCCCCACCTGGGCCACTATCTATAGCACAAACCAGTCCTTCCACCTGCATTGCACTCTCTCCAATCGAGGGATTTTTTTCTTTTAACTTTTATTTTTGGGTGGTTCAGGGGTACATGTGCAGGTTTGTTATACAGCTAAAATTGTGTCATGGGAGTTTGGTGTGGAGATTATTTTGTCACTGCAGTACTAATCATAGCACCAAAAATGTACTTTTTCTGACCCTTTTAGTCCTCCCACCCTCAACTAGGCCTCAGTGTCTTTTTTCCCCTCTGTGTTCATGTGTTCTTATTTATCTCTTACTTACAAATAATAACATGCATTTGGTTTTCTGTTTCTGTATCAGTTTTCTAAGAATAGTGATCTCCAGCTTCATCCATGTTGCTGCAAAGGACATACTCTTTTTTTTTTTTTTAATGGCCACACAGTATTTCATGATGTCATGATGTTTATGTACCATATTTGTTTGTTTGTTTGTTTTGATATGGAATCTCACTGTATCACACAGGCTGGAGTGCAGTGGCATGATCTCAGTTCACTGCAACCTCCACCTCCCGGGTTCAAGCAGTTCTGCCACAGCCTCCCAAGTAGCTGGGATTACAGGCGTGTGCCACCACACTCAGCTAATTTTTGTATTTTTAGTATAGATGGGGTTTTGCCATGTTGGCCAGGCTGGTCTTGAACTCCTGACTTCAGGTGATCTGCCGCCTTGGCCTCCCAAAGTGCTGGGATTACAGGTGTGAGCCACTGCACCCGGCCCATATTTTGTTTTTATTAGGTTTTTTATTTTTTGTTATTTTTGGAGACAGGGTCTCACTTTCTTTCCCAGGCTGCAGTGCAGTGGTGTGATCTTGGCTCGCTGAAACTCACCCACTCAGGCTCAAACAATCCTCTTCTATCTAAGCTTCTCAAGTAGCTAAGACTGAAGGCTTGTGCCACCATGCCTAGCTAATTTTTCTTTTTAATAGATGGGATTTTGCCATGTTGTCCATGCCGGTCTCAAACTCCTGAGCTCAGGCAATCCACCTGGCTCAGCCCCCAAAGTGCTGGATTACAGACATGTGCCATCATGCCCAACCATACCGTATTTTCTGTATCCAGTCTACCATTGATAGGCATTTAGGTTGATTCCATGTCTTTGCTATTGTGAATAGTACTGCAACGAATGTGATTGTGCATGTGTCTTTATGATAGAATAATTTATATATTTTTAGGTATAAACCCCGTTGTGAGGTTACTGGGTCAAATGGTAATTTTATTTTTAGTTTATTGAGGAATCACTACACTGCTTTTCACAATGGTTGACTTATAATAATTGCCATTCTCACTGGTTTGAGATGATTTCTTGTTGTGGTTTTCTTTTGCATTTCTCTAACGATTAGTGATGAGCATTTTTTTATATGCTTGTTAGCCACATGTTTGTCTCCTTTTGAAGACAAACATCTTTTTCATGTTTTTTTTTTGGTCTTCTTTTAAGTTAGTTTTTTTTTTTCTTGTAAACTTGTTTTAGTTCTTACGGATTCTGGATAGTAAACCTTTGTCAGAAGCATAGTTTGCAAATATTTCCTATTATTTTGTAGGGTGTCTCTTTACTGTGTTGCTAGTTTCCTTTGCTGTGAAAAAAGATCATTAGTTTATTTAGGTCCCATTTGTCAACTTTTGCAATTGCTTTTGATATCTTCATCATGAAATCTTTGACAGTTTCTATGTCTAGAATGGCACTTCTTATCTTCCAGGGTTTTTTGTTTTTTTTTTTTTTTATAATTTTTAAGATTAACATTTAAGTCTTTCATTTACCTTGAGTTGATTTTTTTATATGGTGTTATAAAAGGGTCCAGTTTCAGTCTGCTACATAGTGCTAGCTAGTTATTCTGGCACCATTTATTAAATAGGAAATTCTTCCCACATTCCTGTTGTCACCTTTGTTGAAGATCAGATGGTTTTAGGTGTGTGGCATTATTTCTGGGCTCCCTATTCTGTTGCATTGGCCTATGAGTTTGTTTTTGTACCAGTACCATGTTGCTTTGTTTACTGTAGCACTGTTGTGTAGTTTGAAGTCAGGTAATGTAATGCCTCCAGCTTTCTTGTTTTTGCTTATGATTGCCTTGGCTATTCAGGCTCTTTTTTGGTTCCATGTGAATTTTAAAATAGTTGTTTTTTTAGTTCTGTTAAAAAATATTTTGGTGGTTTGATTGAATTAGCATTACATCTGTAGATTTATTTAAGCAGTATGGCCATTTTTATGATAGTGATCTTTTTTATTCATGAGCATAAAGTGGTTTTCCATTTGTTTGTGTCATCTCTGGCTTCTTTAAGCATTGTTTTGTAATTCTTGTCATAGAGATCTTTTACCTTTCTGGTTATCTGTATTTCTAGATATGTTATTCTTTTCTGTGGCAGTTGTGAATGGGATTGTGTTTTCGATTCGGATTTGGCCTAGGTGTTCTTGATATATAGGGTTGCTACTAATTTTTGTACATTTCTTTTGTATCCTGAGACTTTACTGAAGTTGTTTGTCAGTTTAAAGAGCTTTTCTGCTGAGAGTATATGGGTTTCCAGATGTAGAATCATGTTGTTTGCAAATAGGGATAGTTTGACTTCCTCTCTTTTTGTTTGGATGCCTTTTATTTTTATCTTTTGCCTGATTGCTCTGGCTAAGACTGCCAATTTTATGTTGAATATAGGAGTGTTGAGAGAAGGCATCCTTGTCTTGTGCCAGTTTTCAAGAAGGAATGCTTCCAGGTTTTGTCCATTCAGTATTTTGGCTGTGGATTTGTCATAGATAACTTACTATTTTGACATGTATACCATCAGTGCCTAGTTTGTTGAGGGTTTTTAACATGAAAAATGTTAAATTTTATTGAAGGCTTTTTGTGCATCTATTGAGATAATCTTGTGATTTCTGTCTTTAATTCTGTTTATGTGATGAATCACATTTATTGATTCGTGTATGTTGAACAAACCTTGAATCCCCAAAATAAACCATAGTTGATCATAGTGGGTTAGGTTTTTGATATGCTGCTGGATTTGGTTTGCTAGTAGTTTGTTGAAGATTTCTTTTTTTTTTTTGAGATGGAGTCTCACTGTGTCATCCAGGCTGGAGTGCAGTGGTGCAATCTTGGTTCACTGCAACCTCTGACTCCCAGGTTCAAGTGATTCTCCTGCCTCAGCCTCTCAAGTAGCTGGGATTACAGGTGTGTGCTACCATGCCCAGCTAATTTTTTCCTGTTTTGAGAAGAGACGGGGTTTCATCATGTTGGCCAGGCTGGTCTTGAACTCCTGACCTCAGGGAATCAAACCACCTTGGCCTCCCAAAGTGCTGCGATTACAGGCATGAGCCACCGGGCCCAGCTGTTTGTTGAAGATTTTTGCATCAATTTTCAAGGATATTGGCCTGAAGTTGCCTTTTTCTGTTTTATCTCTGTTAGGTTTTGGTATCAGAATGATTGCTGTTCTTACATAATGAGTTGGGGAGGAGTTTCTTCTTTTTAATCTTTTGAAATTGTTCTGGTAGAAATAATATCAGCTTCTATTTGTACATCTGGTAGAATTCAGCTGTGAGTATGTTTGGTCCTGAGCTTCATTTAGTTGGTAGGCTACTTATTACTAATTCAATTTTTTGAGCTTATCTATCTATTTAGGGCTTTGATTTTGTGTGTGTGTGTGTGTGTGTGTGTTGAGTTTTGGGAGGATGTATTTGTTCAATAATTTTTTTATTCTAGTTTTTTTTTTATGTGCATAGCAGACTTCAGTATATTTTTGTGGGGTCAGTGGTAATGTCTCTTTTTGTCATTTCTAATTGTGTTTATTTGTATCTTCATTAATCTAGCTCATAGTTTATTTACTTTTTTTAAATAGATTTAATGCCTGGATTTCTTGATATTTTGTAGTTTTTCATGTCTAAATCTCCTTCAGTTCAGATCTGATTTTGGTTATTTCTTGTCTTTTGCTAGCTTAGGGGCTGATTTGCTTTTGTTGCTCTCAGTCTTTTATTTATGATGTCAGGTTGTTAAACTGAGATCTTTCTAACTTTTTGATCTGAGGATTTAATGATATAAATTTTTCTTTTAACACTGCCTTAGCTGTATTGCAGAGATTCTGGTGTGTTGTATTTTTGTTCTTATTTGTTTCAAAACACTTCTTGGTTTCTGCCTTAATTTCATTATTTACCAAAAAAGTTATTCAAGTGTAGGCCATTTAATTTTTATTTAATTGTATAGTTTCCAGTTGTTTTATTGGTATTGAATTGTGTTTCTCTTAAGCTGTAAACTGTGTGTGTGCCTTGTATCGTTTTGGGATTTTTGAATTTGCTGAGAATTGTTTTATTTCTGATTGTGTGGTCAATTTTAGAGTATGTGCCATGTGGTGATGAGAAGAATGTATGTTATGGTATTTTTTAGATGAAGAGTTCTGTAGATGTCTATTAGGACTATTTATTTGGTCAGGTGTTGAGTTCAGGTCCTAATATTGTTGTTGATTTTCTTCAATGATCTCTCCAATAGTGCCTGTGAGATGTAGTCCCCGATTATTACTGTCAGATTCTAAGTCTCTTCATAGGTCTCTAATAATTTGCTTTATTCATGTGAACCCATGGTTTTTTTTTATAACAATTTTCTCTCTTCTGCTTTTCCCCCCATAAACATTCTTTTAAGTGCACACAGTGTGCAAAATTCAGATGTCCAAGAGTTCAAGAACTTGTCCAGAGACCTGGCTTTTGTAAGAGAAAATATAAATGAGAAATAAGAGGCTTTATTCTCATATGTGAAAATAAGGGTGGATAACTTGCTGATTTTTAAAAAAAGGTTTAGATTATATGTATATATTTCTTCTGCTTTTTGAAATATATGTAAATCATATTAGAAATGAAACAAACCTTTTGTCATTCTTTTGACTCAGAATTGTCTTTATCTGGGACCTGAGATTCATTGCTTTCCTTTTTTCTTGGCAAAAGATTATATATATTTTTATCTTTAGTCTTTAAAGTAGACACAGATTTGTTGAGAGTAAAATTTATTTCAAGAGCCTAATAAAGTTAAGCACAAAGATCGGATTAATTTAGCAATACAGAATAATAAAGACTAAAAGATCCTGAGTAAGTTCTTTGGCAGAAACCCGATTATCCAAGGTGATTATTTGCAGGCTGAAATACTTACACTGCGAAAGCCAGAAGAGTTCAGTGTATAAACTGAACAGTGGAGTCTGTTGTACTTGGGTTGCTTCAGTACAGTTAGTATAGTTATGTGTAGTGTTTGTAGACAACCTGCATTCATGTAAATTAAACAGTATTTTCTAGAATAGTATAAATTTAAGGCCACAATATTTACTTTGATTGAATTCCTTATTTTAATATTGTTATTCATACTTTTGAAATATAGTGTTTCAACTGAATTATAGTTCAGATAATTTTAAAAAATCTTACATACATTATGACTAGTACATAAAATTATTCATACTTATATATTCATATCTGCTATCCCAAAAATTTTACCATTAAATTGTTACAGTAGATGTTAGTCTGACATGCTTATTAATTTACCCAATAGGAAAAATTATAGGTAGGCATAATTTTAGTGTCATATATTTTACCAAATTAGTATGCTGCTATTACAGGATAAATAAAGACAGGTGATATGGCTACTCAAAAACTGTAATAGCTCTCCAGTTAGGTATGTTGCAAGCTCTAATATATTCTACTATATTAACACAGTCAGATTTCAATTTTTTATAAAAAAGTGCTGGTGGAAGTTGTCAGATATATTCCAGTGTAGATCTCACATTCAATGGTTAGGAAATAAGAGAGCAGCAGAGATGGAAGATAAATCTTTTAAAATTCTGCTGAGAGCTAGGCGCTGTGGCTCATGCCTGTAATCTCAACACTTTGGGAGGCCAAGGTGGGTGGATCACCTGAGGTCAGGAGTTTGAGACCAGCCTGGACAACATGGTGAAACCTCGTTTCTACCAAAAATACAGAATTAGCCAGGTGTGGTGGTATGTGTCTATAGTCCCAGCTATTTGGGAGGCTGAGACAGGAGAATCGCTTGAGCCCAGGAGGCAGAGGTTGCAGTGAGCCAAGATCATGCCATTGCACTCCAGCCTGGGCAACAAGAATGAAACTCCATCTCAAAAAAAAAAAATTGTGCTGAGAATATACCCCCTTTATTCAATAATGCTCATGTTTCTCTTGCTGAGAGTAGCTATGCACTTTGGGTGTTTGGAGAGAAATTCTTCTTAGGGAAATATTTTCTGGCTGACTTGATCAATCTTATATCTAATCTCAGTTTTTTCTTAAGACACTTTTAACTTTTTTCTCTCAATATAATCTTTCTCAGAATAAGAGCTGTTTTTCTCTCTAATGCATTGTGTATCTGTTTCAGAAGCCCTATTAGTATTCCGTGGTGTCTGTGAAAGACGTGGGCTGTCACAGTGAGAACTCTCAGAGCTATCTCTATCTGGACTCATGCTAAAATCCAGCAGTATTTTTTTCATGCCGCCATTATAAATAAAAACTGAGGCTGAAACAGTGCTCCCTTTTCTATTATTGTGAAGGTGCAATTCTACCCAGGAGGCCTGCAGGCTCTCCTCCTGCTGCTCAGGCTTCACTGTCTGATGTGGCACTGGAGTGCTGCTGTGGCAATTGGGGTTCACCTAAGATGTGAGTTTCCAGCTGTGAGCCCTGTGCTGTGGGCTGTGCCTCAGTGGCAGATGGTGGGGTCAAGAGAGTACACTAGCCACCAAGAGAGGGAAAGCAGGAGTGTTCTAGCCCAGTGCTCAGAGAGTAGAGAGCTATTGCTTTAAAATGTAAATAGCCAAAAAGATAGCACCCGAATCAACACTTTTTGTAGAAGAGTCAAAGCCTACCTTCAGCAGGCCCTGGGGTTCAAGTTGCAAAACTACCTCTAGTCATGAAGATGTGAAAGCTTTACTTTGTCATTGATTATAACCAGTTAGCATACAGGGATGGCCTTCCCAGCTACCAGATGAATTCAGGATGAACTATGTATGACATGGTGCTGTAAATTCTACTTGTAGATGAATTATGGTGACTGTCTTTCTGTCTTTGCAATCTCTTGAGCAAATTGACTGTAATGCATGTCACATTCACATGTAATTGTGTAATAAAACAGTTTTCTTTCTGTTCTGTTATTATTTAATTCCTCTGGGGCTGAAGAAAATTTTGCTTCTAACTGTATTTTCCAAACCTTGTCTAGAATTACCAGACATAATATAAACACATAGGGTACCAACTAAGCTTTACTATAGATGGGCCTTTTCCACTCAGGCTTCCAGTCCATTCACAATTGTGCTGCGAAGTGCATGCTGTACCCTAAATATGCAGGTGGAATTGTGTCTCTGCCTACTTGGTATCTATCATCCTCTGCAGTCACTTTTAGAGAGGCTAGAACAGATTTCTACAAACTTTATAGGTCAGATATTAACCATTTTACCTCTTTCAATGACTTGTCTTCAGACCTGAAACTGATTCAGTGACCATGGGGCACAGAAACCCAATCAGAGTAAAATATGTGCATTGAGTAGACCTGTAGACGTGAGAATCCAGTTCTCCCTCCCTCCTCATGCTATAATGCCCACAAATATTCAGATACCACCTGCTGCTACTTTACCCATGCAGGACCTGAATTTGCAGCTCCAAATTCTAAATCTAGGTCTTGAGAATTGAAAAGAAAAAAAAAAGTTTTTATCTGAGGAATGCAAGTCCTTTTAGTTATCAAAGTCAGAGAGCCATTAAAATGAGCACAGTTATGTTTTTCTCCCTTTTCTTCAGCTATGTATTTATCTCTTGAAACTGTTCACTATTGCCACAAGTAGCTTTAAATTAGACCAATAATTCCACTCTGGACACTAAATTCCATACCCTTAACCTTGATGTATATGCAATCAATTATTAAAGTTATTTCTTTACATAAGTAAAATTTCTCACAACCAATTTCGTATCAGCTCATTCACTGTACCTCTTTTTTTTTTTTTTTTTTTTTGCCTTTACAAATCCACTTGTAAGTGCTGCTAATGAAAGTGTAGATTCCAGGCAACTTGAATATTTTGTCTCAAGTTAAAATCCTTAAGCTTGACCCAAATAAACTGTCTGCTTATGTTCATGTTGTGTCAGCTTTTTTCAGGTAAAATATTATTTAGAATGTTCTAGAGCAGCCTCTAAGAGGGGATCTCTCCTTTCATTTCACTTTACTTGCTGTAACACCCAAAAATGCAGAGTGAGGTTGATTTCACCTAGAATTTGTAAATAAGACCTGGCCTCTGCCTGGAATTTACAAGGCAAAGCCAGACTTTGGATTGAGAATTTACAGAAAACCAACAGGAGGCATTTTCTGCATTGTGAGATATCAACATAGACATTTTAATTTCCTTTTTTGAGAGTGTGGCCTTTTGACCTTTCACATCTTCATTAACCTGCCCCAGTTATGTGAGAGGCTCCAGGAGTAAATAGAATCTGATGGCAGAATCTGTAAGTGTAAACAATCATCTTAAGGCCACAAAGTATCCAGAGCCACACCACAACTATACCTACTTGTAAAATGTGATACTGGAGTAGAGTATTCTTGTCCTTCTACTTACCCAACAGCTAGCAAATCAGGACAGGCAACCCAGATTCTGGAGTTCAGCCAAAGTAGTTCCATTTTTTATTTAGAATCATCCTGAGTCTTCTCTGTCTGTCTTATCATTGGACCATCAGCCCAGGTTCACTGGGAACCCTCTCACAATCACCTACGAATCTCTGAGACATTTGAGAATGTCCAGAACAGATCCCTGGTACTTGAGTAAAAAATCAGGAGGTCTGGAGGCTCAAAGAGATAAACTAATTGCTTCAATTTCATATAGTCATAAAAAAAAATAGAAGAAGCAGGCTGGGTGCAGTGTCTCATACCTGTAATCCCAGTACTTTGGGAAGCCAAGATGGTGGATCACCTGAGGTCAGGAGTTCGAGACCAGCTTGGCCAACATGGTGAAATAGGGATTTCACCATATTGAATAATATTGAATAATGTGTTGAATAAACCAACATATTTTAGCCAGGTGTGGTGGCTCATGCCTGTAGTCCTGGCTACTTGGGAGGCTGAGGCAGGAGAATCTCTTTAACCTGTTAGGTGGAGACTACAGTGAGCCGAGATCACACCATTGCACTCCAGCCTCCGCAACAAAGTGAGACTCAGTCTCAAAAAAAAAAAAAAAAAAAAATTGATGAAGCAGTCATGATTCCTACCATCCTGGAAGTTTTAGTCTAAACTAACAACTGGAAAAATGGTTGAATTATGCATCATATGGTGGGTACAATAAATAGATGTGCAAAAAACAACTTGGGCTTTATTTGAGCCACTTTCTTTATATTGTGGTTTCTGATGTCTACACCTGAACTTATAATTGGAAGAGTTGTTATTATTATTTGTAGTTCTTTTACCCTGCTAAGAATACTTATTTTTCTTCTAAAAAAATTATTATAGAAAACCTTAAGGGATTTTTTTTTAAATTTCTTATTAGTATGTAATATAAAATTTACAGGGCAGTGGCTAAAAAAGATTAAAATTATACAAACTCAGATTTAAGTTTACTTAAGTAAGATTTAAAAAAAAAGAACTTACAATACCCCCCAGTGCCATAGAGAACAGAATTGTACATTGGCTCTACACTCTGCCCCAGCCCTGTTCATATTCACCCTTTTTGGAGGCCTTATTTATGTCTGGCCCTACCCTGGAGTCTTGCCTCAAAGAACTGATTAGAAGAGATCAGAGTTTTGGGTCATGAATACTGTTGCCTTTTTAGAGCTGGTGTTCAACATTTTCTGAGACTTAAAAGCAGATAAATGGGAAATATAAAGTATGTATTATAGAATCTTACTTTACAAATTTTTAATTAAAACCAGTGCTTGCAGAGACATTATTTAGCAACTTGTTTTCTGTTCCTGCAGCTGATTTCTGTTTTCTGTTCTGTTTTCTATTCTTTGCAGTTGATTCACAAGTCACAAGAAAGTAAATATAAACACAATAAAAATTTATCTAAATTTTATTAAGCTCTTTCCATCTGTATCCCTTTCATCTGTCTATAGTTAGCTTTTATTCTATGCATTTTTTGAAAAATCAATGACAGATAAACAAATAGAAATAAAAATGCTGGGTCCTTTAAAGCCTTGGAATTATTGAACACTTAGTATCAACTGAAAGGGTGTTATTAGGATTAAATCACATAATGTGCTATCACAGTACTCTAACATCCTATTGAGCACATAGTACCTGCTTAATAAACATTGCATTAGTACATGTGCACACGTTGTTTTCCAAATGCTGACTTACTCAGAAATTGCTGCTTTCTGTTTTCTCTGTAAATTTTAAAGAGTCAGCAAATAATATAATACTTTAGGATGAAGAATGATTGTTTTCATTTGTACCAGAAGTATCTGTGTTCTGCCTCATTTCTCTAATTAATGCTAATAATAAGCCCAGTGGGAGCAACATCATTATTGACAGCGCACTTGTTTAAGTGACCCATTTATGGACCCTTTCCATACCTGCAGAATTACATTTCATAGAGTGGGGCCAAAATTACCAAGTCATTTATAAGCTCCTTAGAGCTTGAGAGGAAATGCTTAGTTAAGGGGTTATCAGCCCAGGCTTCTAATTAGTATCACCTGGCCATTTTGCAGAACTCTCTTTACTTGTGCCCTTTCCATGGATTCTGTTTATTGTTCTTGGTGGAAGCATTCATGTTGTTTTAATTAAGTGGCTCATGTGACTCTAAGGTGAGGCCAGAATCAAGTATGAGGAATTCATAATACATTCATGAGAGTTAAGTTCCATCTTTGCATTAAAGGGTGGTCCAAGAACCTGTTCTGTTTGGATTTGGTAGGGACAGTACACCGTGGCCCATATTTACATTACTGTGGCAGAAATTGCTGGTGCCTGTGTCAGGGGATGGCTCCTGAGGACAAAATAAAGAAAAGCATATTTTTATCTCTGTGGAGCTACTCATTGTTTCTTCATCTCTTCTGCTATAAAGGACAGAAATGGATGGAGTTTTTCTGTCTTGGTTCTTCTGCCTGTGGATGTGGTGACAGCAGGTAGACCTGTGGTGCTGACACTTTTAAAGGCATATTCTCAAGATGCAGGTGTAATTTGTCTAGAAAATTTTATCTGAGAAAGAATCCTAGGGAAGGAGGAGAAAGAGAAAAAAATGGCCTTTTCTTTTTCACCTAAACATGTCTGAGATCAAGATCTGTGTCCACTATTCTTCCTCCAGGAAACATACGTTTAGTACTTGCAAACCTGTACTTCTGTGTACCTGTGTTTTTCCTCCCTAATGAGTTTGTCTTAACTGCTTTAAAAAATTCTTACAATAATCAAAGTCTCTGAAAAATATATTTTTTTCTATATACCAGAGCTTTCTCTATATTATGGCTTCTTATATGCCATGCAGAAATCTCACTATGAATTTATAATCTGCAATATTAAAAATGTCCCTTTGTGGCTGTTGAACATGGGAAAGTGTAGATACTCAAAATTCATATTGGGGAAAACCTGGGGTTTTTAGTGAAGACAGAGAACATGTAATGTTGTGGTTTCATCTGTGTTCTTTATTATGTCTATGCAGTACAAGATTAAGAAAACACTCATTGAAGCAGTGTGGTATTTATTACCCAGAAAATTCTAAAAAAAATTGTTAGGAGATACCTGCTCTCTCAGTGCTGAAGAAATACTATTTAAAATCACTACTAAAAGTTACAGAACATGGGAGATATCTCTATCTTGAACTTTCCATAAAACTAATGTTTCCTTATGGTTAAATTCAGACTATAATTTACCTTTCAGAGGGGGGGCAATATCTCAGCAGTAATACTGTGTCCTTCTGGGTACATCAGGACATTAAAAAAATGTGTTCTAGTGTAATTGATGTTAATAAATCACTTGGTTGATAAGCTCTCTGACACATTTTTTTACTATGGAATTAATCATTTTCCTCTTCATCATTAAATATCTTTATGCAGCTGATGTGAATAAACCAAAACATTTAATCTGACAGCTGCCCTTCTTTCTTAGGTTTCCTTTGCATTTGTCTGTTTTTGGAAAATGAAGGCTCTTATCTTTGTTTACAAACCAGAAAAACAGAAAAACACAGGCTCATTCTATTACTGGATGTTTTAAAAAATAGTCTTTTTGGGCCAAAAACATTGGCATACTGATGAGCTTATTAGAAATTCAGCAACTCAGACTTTATCCCAGATCTGAAAAAAAAAAAATTGCATTAACAGGATCTCTAGCTTATTGCACACATTAAAATTTGAGTCATACCTTCTAACTCAACATGTCTATTCCATCTGAATAATATGCAAAACTATGTCTTTTCCATCTGAAAAATACACACGATGAATTTTTTTTTTTTTTTTTGAGATGGAGTTTCACTCTTGTTGCCCAAGCTAGAGTGCAATGAATCTTGGCTCACTGCAGCCTCCGCCTCCTGGGTTCAAGCAATTCTCCTGCCTCAGCCTCCCGAGTAGCTAGGATTACAGCCATGTGCCACCATGCATGGCTAATTTTGTGTTTTTAGTAGAGACGGGGTTTCACCATGTTGGTCAGGCTGGTCTCGAACTCCCAACCTCAGGTGATCTGCCCACCTCAGCCTCCCAAAGTGCTGGGATTACAGGCATGAGCCACCATGCCTGGCACACAATTCTGTATGATGTAAATATAGCACTCAAAATTGTACATGTTAGTGTTTTTGCCCTCAATTTTATACTTTATTATCTAGAAAAATATTACATATACACAGATGTTATGGATCTTATACCACTTTCTTTTCTCAGAGTTAGAGAATACATTAGTGAACATTTCTGTGTTGAAAACTATTTTATTGAATAATTTCAGTCATTCATATAAGTCAGAACCAGCTCTCTCTACTCTCTCCATTTTACCTTGAGTCACATTAAAAGTTCTGCCCATGACCAATTGGTAAATATATGTGTTTGTGTGTGTTTTCCAGGGAGCATTGACATTTAGGGATGTGGCCATAGAATTCTCTCTGGAGGAGTGGCAATGCCTGGATTCTACACAGCAGAATTTATATAGGAATGTGATGTTAGAGAACTACAGAAACCTGGTCTTCCTGGGTGAGAATAACTTTAATACGCAATTCCTAGTATATACTACAGGTTTCATTTTGCTGCAGACCTTATTGGACTGAACAAAGGAGGATGAATGCGAGAATACAGACAAAGACAAAAGAGTATATTTGGAAGAAGGGGTCGTGGACTCCTTGCTTCTGGTGAACAAGGGTCCTGAGCTTCTATAGCCCTTTGTATTTATTGAGTAAAGGAGATAGGGAGAAGGGGGAGGTTGTGGTCAGCTGCTTGACTTAATGCAGGCCTGCATGACTGTATTCTTTGAACAGTACTCTCCAGATGTTCCAGTAGATAACTCCAAGGAGCATGGCACCAGGGAGTGACTGTCCTCAGTATACCTTCTGGTGGCAGGAGCAGAAGCAAGTTTGCCCACATTCTGCACTCATGATAAACAGTTTGCTGTTTGATCATATAGCCTCCAGTGGAATGCTGAGTTGGTCACAACACTCAGGCATTCAGCTCCCAACATTTCCCCCTTCCTGTTTATGCATTAATCAAATAAACGTAAGGCCAGGTTGGGCAGCTCTCATTTTGTGATTGGTCCGTCGGATTTTACAGACTATGAACAGAAAACAGAGACAGAACAGCATTACTCCAAAAACTACATATGAGATGTTTGTGTGGTGCTTTAGATAGGTCCAAGGATTGAGGCTCTCCAGGCCTTGCTGGAATTCGGTCCAGTCTTCTAAAGAAGGCTGAAACTCTTGAGTTTGCTTATTTAAATCAAGAATTTTGTTTTGTAATTCACCAGTATCAAAGGTGATGTTGGGTGTGAAAGCTCCCCGCAAATGGGCTTTCACAAGGTCCCATGGATACTCGCTTTGGTTATATTCTACGTTGGTTACACATATATGAGTGTGATTTAAATGATAGCACAATTGCTCTTTCAATTGTAAGTTTTGTAATTGTTCTCCTAACCATAGAACCATGGATTTCAACATTGCCACTTGTTTATAACTCAGTGTTAATTTTATTCTTTAGTAGCCATGCTTGGTTGGCTGTATGCCTCTGCATCCAGTTCTCCACATACTGAGCTGTTGAATAGAACTATGCAAAGCTACAGAGGACATCACAATAGAAGTTATTAGTGTGACCAAGGAAACAATAGCAAAAATTATCATGCCTAAGGGTCTGCGGACACGATAAGTAAGTTGAGTTAGAAGAAGTTTCACAAAGTGCAAAGCAGGGGTGGCAGCCCAAGGCTTGGACAGATTATTAGAAATCCATAGCCCAGGGATGCGACCCAAAATGTGCCAAGACGGGGGCTAATCCTTACTGGGTATTACTGACACATCGGCTCCTGTTTCCATAAGCCCATAAAATTTCTTTCCTTTAGTTTGTACTACACAGGTGAGTCTGTTAGAGGCTATGAGTTGTGATGGATAGATTTCTCATGTAGTTGTGCTCCCAAACCCTTTATTTCCTCATTTCTCCTTTTGTGGAAAAGGGTGTAATTTGCAGGGCATAAGCAATAATTGCACTATATATTCCCCTGGTTCAAAAACCCAAAGATCTTGTGACATTAAAACTACTTGGATTTCTCCTTTATAATTGGAGTCAACTACTCCTGGGATTACAGTGATGCCTTGCAAGTTAAGGCAGCTTTTGCCTAAAATTAGTCCCATGTATCCTGCTGGTATAGGTCCCCAAATGACAGTGGGTACTTTGGTAGGTTTGTCTCCTATAACTAATGTAATTCTTTCTCTGACTGGGAGATCTAATCGTGCACTTCCTGGTGTTCCTGGGGAGAGGGAATCAATGTTTCTCCTGGGACCAACCCTTGAAGTGGGGTTGTGGCCTGAACTGGGAATGCCGTCATTGTTTGAGGGGACTGGGTCCAGGGCCCCTTCTTGTTTCCTAGCGGGGGTGTTATTATGATGAAATTTTGAGCGGCACTGATTCGCCCAATGATGTCCATTGTTACAGCCCAGTGATTCCCTTTGTTACAGCGAGGACAGAATCCTGGTGTTTTTTCTGCTCGGGGTGGGGAGCACCGCATTGTAAGGTCCTTTCTGTCCTGAGATCTGGTGGCATTCCTTTTTGAAATGTCCAGTTTTTCCACAGTTGTAACATTTTCCCACTTTAGGGTTTGAACCTTGGCTCCTTTTAGATCTGTCAACTACTAAACTAGCCATTGCTTGTGCTAACATTGTAGAACAATGAAATTCAGTTCCTGCATTCTGACAAGCTTTAAGGTAATTCCCCAAGCTTTGTGTGGATCTCACAGGAGCCATTGCACACTTGCAATCTGCATTTACATTTTCATAGGTTAGAATTATGGTAAGCATTTCTGCAGCAGGGGCATTAGGGATCTGATGCCACACTGCCTCTTGCAGCCATGTGATATATTGTGCATAAGGCTCTCATGATCCCTGCATGACATGTAGAAAGACTGCACTGGAACTCCCTCTTCAGGAATTGTGCTCCAAGCATGCTTGGCGGCTAAGGCAGACCAGTGGTAAGCAGCATCTGGGAATGTTAATTATTGTACCAGATCTGAAAATGGGCCATTGCCTGTCATCATTTTCTCTCTAATGTTTCCTTGACCAGCAGTGTGATTCTACCTAGCCTGATCTGCACACATTTCTTGCCAGTTTAAGCTCCATATCAGGTATGCACTGGCGGATAAGCAAGTGCAACCCAAATGTTTTATATCAAAGAGTGGGAGGTGCATGGCTCTGAACACCAATTCTAACAGCCCTATAGTGAATGGGCTTTGCACTCCATTATTAACCACACTAGCTTTTAATTCTTTCAGTAATTTAAACTGTACAGGAGTGTGCTCATGTAAAAGATGTTGCAGATTGTTTGGATCAGGCCTCACAGTAATAGGAAAAGCACAAGGTCCTAAAGGTTCC
Source organism: Homo sapiens (assembly GCF_000001405.40). Taxonomy (NCBI): domain Eukaryota; kingdom Metazoa; phylum Chordata; class Mammalia; order Primates; family Hominidae; genus Homo; species Homo sapiens. The sequence continues at coordinate 115,145 of NW_003315965.1, forward strand.
CTAGCCGCAGCATCAGCATGCAAAATTTTTTGTATGGGAGTTTCTACTTCTGTTATTGGAGGGGGTAGCAGAGGCCAATTCTCCTCTCCTTTTTCCTGCTTAGCAAATGGACAATTCTTCCCTTTCTCCTGCTCATTATTTTCAATAGGCGCTGTTGGAGGAAGAAATTATCTTTTTAATTCTTGAGACTCAAAACCTGACTCCTGTTGTCTGACAAAATAAGAAGGAGACAGCGGCAGTAGGACCGTGCAAACCAAACCCCAAGCAGAAAACACAGAAGGGTCTCCTTTAAGACCTTTTTGACGAACCCATTTCAATCCATCTCCTACTCTGTTCCAGTTTTCCACAGTGAGAGTACCTGCCTGCAGAAACCATGGGTTATGCGCAATAACCTTCTGAAGAAGCTTAATGTTTGTGAATTAACTTGAGCTCCAGACTGTTTCAACAGAACTTTAAGCAACTGCACATAACGTTTTTCTTCAACAGACATGTTATAATTTAGTATTTTGGGATAAATGTATTAGAATATTCTATTACATCCTCTTTACTGAGCACATTACTAAGTTGGTAATTGGAGAATATGAGCAAGATGGATGTTGTTCATTTTTAATAAAACAGGTATTGCTGCCTTTAAGCCAGACCTGATCATTTTTCTGGAGCAAGGAAAAGAGCCCTGGAATATGAAGAGACATGAGATGGTGGAAGAACCCCCAGGTAGGTGAGAGTGAATACAGACAACATGAATGAGAAGTCCAAAGTCAATGAGGAAGCCAGTCCTTAAAGTCATTTGGGAAGCTGTGTTCCAAAAGTAGTTGTTTCTGGAAAGCTAATTTTTATTTTTATTTTTTAATTTTCTCTCACACAGGGGCATCTTCTAACTTATGCTTTTAAAATTTCTAAGAATTCTTCTTTCCCTTAAGTAATTTTCCTTCAAGTTTACAGTGATAGCCAAAGTACTGTTCATGGCATACAAGAGAGTGCAATCTGACTTTTTTTTGTTTTTGTGGACACATAGATATCCGCGTAATTTTAAGGTACTCCATGTTAAACTATCTTTTAAGTTCTCTTTTTCCATCATCTCTGAAGTGTGTGAGAGTAGTGGTTTCTGTATCATTGGGGTTTTTTTGGTTCATTTTTCTGCACATTTCATTCTGTTTTTATTACTATAGTCTTGAAATATAGTTTGAAATTATAAAGTATAATATCCTTCTGCTTTTTTATTTTTCCTCAAGATTGCTTTGGCTATTCACAGTTTCTTGTAGCTTCATGTAAATTTTATGATTGTATTTTTCATTACTGTGAAAGAAAAACACTGGAATATTGACAGAGTTTACTGAATCTAGAGATCACTTTGGGTAATATGATATTTTAACATTTATTTGAATCTATAGACATAAAATATATTTAAATTTATTTGTGTTCTCTCATTTTTCATTGATAAATCCTTGAAAAGTTTTTCAGCTCCTCAATTAAATTTGTTCTCAGATATTTATTATTTTAGTGCTATTGTAAATAAGATGGTTTTCTTTTTCTATTTTATCAGATAGTTTAAGTGTATGGAATCATAACTTATACTTGTATGTTAATTTTATATTTTGCTAATTTGCTGAGTGTATTTATTAGTTTGAAAAGATTTTAATGTACTGTTTATGGTTTTTTATAGAGAACATTGCATGATCTACAAACAGCAATGTTTTACTTATTTGCCTTCAATTTCAGTGACTTAAAAATTTTTTTGACTAATTTTTCTTCCACATACTTCAAGTGCTGTGTTAAGATAGAAGCATTGTCAGTGGCACAGTATGCTTTTGCATTGGTGTCTGAATTTGAAGGAGTAAACACCTCTTAAAATTTTTATAAACTGGTTTCAGAGGGTAAAAATCTTCTTTTTTGGGGCCCCCAGGGTGATAGAATGCCCTCTGGGTTTGTAGTAGAGTGGGGTTGTAGCTTGGTCACAAGGCTGCTGGCTCTGCACTAGGGTTGGCTTATTACAAGGGGCTTGGGCAGTTGTAATTCCCATTTTATTTTTGGACAGAGTAAATATCCTTCAGGACGTTGCTCAGTAGGGTAGACGCTAGGGCAGGTTTCTACAGTCAAGTCTGCATATGGTGGGCTTTATATTAGGATGTGGATTAGTATGGCTTTTCATTGAGTACCAGAGAGGATTTCTGAGGTCACTGTGGGATTCTATGTAGGCAGAACTGGCCATGAACTGTGGCTTAGGAAGCTGGAACTGAGTCATGGAACTGCTATTGGGACGACAGTAAGGACCAAGGTCTGCAGGCCTGCCAGCATGGCTCTAAATGGGTATCAGTCTCCAAGCCTCTGGAGGACCAAGACCTCTCACAGACTGTGGCTGGGAGGAGTTTGGGATGGTTACAGAGTAAGTTCAAAATTCTCTGTGGGACCAAGTAGGGTGGGACATTTTCTGGTCTGTAGTCAAGAGCAGGGGTCCTCTAGTTTGCCACCTGAATGAAAGCTTGCCTTCTGAAAAGGGTGCTCCTCAATCTTGGGCTTTAGCAAAGTTTCACAATTCCCTCACTGGATCTCAAAGCTCTCTTAAAGGCACTTATTTTTGAGATAAGGTCTCACTACATAACCCAGGTTGGTCTTAAAGTTTTGGCCTGCAGCAATTCTCCAACCTTTCTATACCATGTAGCTGTCATTACAGATGTTAACCATGATGTCTGATTCTCTCATTAAGACATTTTTGTCGTGGATGACTGACAGACTTTCTTGCTGTTGGGGGTTAAGCAAATAGGGGACCTTTTTCTTTTTATCTGTTTCTAAGAGTGTAATTGCTTTATATCTATCTATCTCATAGAATCTTTGTCTTTTTATGGCTGACTCATTTCATTTTGCATAATGTTATCAAGATTTATCTTTATAATTGCTTTATAATTTCTGCTTTTGAAAACTGAGTGATATTCCAGTATTTTTATATTTCAAATTATATTTACTGAATGATTTGGTAACAAATTTGCATTGCCTTTATTAGTTTACAGTAATAATTATTGCTATGTAAATGACTCCTCATATGACCATATATCTTAAAGTGTGTATGTATATATATATATATATATATATATATATATATATGTTGCATTCTATTTTATTAGTCTAATTTTTCATCCTTATACTTAACCAGATTGTTTTAATTCTGTAGCTTGGAATGTCTTTTGAAATCAGGAACTTTAATGCCTGCAACATTGCTTTATTATTATTATTATTTTAAGATTGTTGGGTATTGTCTTTTGAGATTCTATATACTTTTAGGGTTGCTGTTTCTATTTTTTCAAAAATGCAGTGAGAAATTTGAGGAACATTTCATTAACTGTGTAGATTACATTGAGCAGGATGAACATCTTTACAGTATTATTACAACCTTTGCATAAGAGCGTGCTCGAGTGTTTTGTTAAATTCCTGTATATTTGAGAAGATGCTGTGTTTTGTTTTCTGTTCTTGTGTTAGTTTGCTGAGAATGATGGTTTCCAGCTTCATCCGTGTCCCTGCAAAGGATGTGAATTCATTTTTTTTATGGCTGCATAGTATTCCATGGTGTATATGTACCACATTTTCTTTATCCAGTATATTACTGATGGGCATTTGGCTTGGTTCCAAATCTTTGCTATTGTGAATAGTGCTGCAGTAAACATACATGTGCATGTGTCTTTATAGTAGAATGATTTATAAACTTTTGATTATATACCCAGTAATGGGATTACTGGGTCAAATGGTATTTCTAGTTCTAGATCCTTGAGGAATCGCCACATTGTCTTCCACAATGGCTGAACTAATTTACACTCCACTCAGCAGTGTAAAAGCTTTTCTACTTCTCCACATCTTTGCAGCATCTGTTGTTTCCTGGCTTCTTAATGATCTCCATTCTAACTGGTGTGAGATGGTATCTCATTTTGGTTTTGACTTACATTTCTCTAATGACCAGTAATGATGTGCTTTTTTTCATGTGTCTGTTCGCTGCATAAATGTCTTCTTTTGAGAAGTGTCTGTTCATATCCTTTGCCCAATTTTTGATGGGGTTGTTTGTTTTTTTTCTTGTAAATTTGTTTAAGTTCTTTGTAGATCCTGGATATTAGCCCTTTGTCAGATGGATAGATTGCAAAATTTTTCTCCCATTCTGTAGGTTGCCTGTTCACTCTGATGATAGTTTCTTTTGCTGTGTAGAAGCTCTTTAGTTAAATTAGGTCCCTTTTGTCAATTTTGGCTTTCATTGCCATTGCTTTTGCTCTTTTAGTCATGAAGTATTTGCCCATGCTTGTGTCCTGAGTAGTATTCTCTAGGTTTTCTTCTAGGATTTTTATGGTTTGGGGTATTACATCATCTTTAAATCTTTTACATCTTTAAATCAATTTGAGTTAATTTTTGTATAAGGTGTAAGGAAGGGGTCCAGTTTCATTTTTCTGCATATGGCTAGCAAGTTTTTTCAACATCATTTATTAAATAGGGAATCCTTTCCCCATTTCTTGTTTTTGTCAGGTTTGTCAAAGATCAGATGGTTGTAGATGTGTGAGGTTATTTCTGAGGGCTCTGTTCTGTTTCAGTTGTCTATATATCTGTTTGGATACCAGTACCATACTGTTTTGGTTACTGTAGCCTTGTAGTATAATTTGAAGTCAGGTATCATGATGCCTCCAGCTTTGTTCTTTTTGCTTAGGATTGCCTTGGCCATGTGAGATTTTTTTTTTGGTTCCATATGAAATTTAAAGTAGTTTTTTCTAATTCTGTGAAGAAAGTAAATGGTAGCTTGATGGGAATGGCATTGAATCTGTAAATTACTTTGGGCAGTATGGCCATTTTCACGATATTGATTGTTCCTATGCATGAGCGTGGAATGTTCTTCCATTTGTTTGTGTCCTCTCTTATTTTCTTGAGCTGTGGTTTGTAGTTCTCCTTGAAGAGTTCCTTCACATCCCTTGTAAGTTGTATTCCTAGGTATTTTATTCTCTTTGTAGCAATTGTAAATGGGAGTTCACTCATGATTTGGCTCTCTATTATTGGTGTATAAGAATGCTTGTGATTTTTTCACATTGATTTTCTATCCTGAGACTTTGCTGAAGTTGCTTATCAGCTTAGGTAGATTTTGGGCTGAGACAATGGGGTTTTCTAAATATACAAACATGTCATCTGCAAATAGAGACTATTTGACTTCCTCTTTTCCTATTTGAATATCATTTATTTCTTTTTCTTGCCTGATTGCCCTCACCAGAACTTCCAATACTATGTTGAATAGGAGTGGTGAGAGAGGGCATCCTTGTCTTGTGCCAGTTTTCAAAGGGAATGCTTACAGTTTTGCCCATTCAGTATGATATTGTCTGTGGGTTTGTCATAAATACATCTTATTATTTTGAGATATGTTCCATCTCTACCTAGTTTAGTGAGAGTTTTTAGCACGAAAGGTGTTGAATTTTGTCAAAAGCCTTTCCTGCATCTATTGAGATAATCATGTGGTTTTTGTCTTTGGTTCTGTTTATGTGATAGATTACATTTATTGATTTGTGTATGTTGAACAAACCTTGCATTCCAGGGATGAAGCCAACTTGATCTTGGTGGATAAGCTTTTTGATGTGCTGCTGGATTCGGTTTACCAGTATTTTATTGAGGAGTTTTGCATCAGTGTTCATCAGGGATATTGGCCTGAAATTTTCTTTTTTTGTTGTGTCTCTGCCAGGCTTTGGTATCAGGATGATGCTGGCCTCATAAAATGAGTTATGGAAGAGTCCCTCTTTTTCTATTGTTGGGAATAGTTTCAGAAAGAATCGGCTCTTCTTTGTACCTCTGGTACAAAGGCTGTGAATCCATCAGATTCTGGACATTTTTGGTTGGTAGGCCCATAAGTACCGCCTCAATTTCAGAACTTGTTATTGGTCTATGCAGGGATTTGACTTCTTCCTGATTTAGACTTGGGAGGGTGTATGTGTCCTGGGATTTATTCATTTCTTCTAGATTTTCTAGTTTATTTGCATAGAGACGTTTATAGTATTCTCTCATGGTAGTTTGTATTTCTGTGGAATCAGTGGCGGTGTCCCCTTTATTATTTTTGATTGCATCTATTTGATTCTTCTCTCCTTTCTTCCTTTTTAGACTGGCTAGCAGTCTATCTATTTTGTTGATCTTTTTGAAAAAAAAAATAGCTCCTGGATTCACTGATTTTTTTGAAGGGTTTTTTGTGTCTATCTCCTTCAGTTCTGCTCTGTTCTTAGTTATTTCTTGTATTCTGCTAGGGTTTGAATTTGATTGTTCTTCTCTAGTTCTTTTAATTGTGATTTTAAGTTGTCAATTTTAGATCTTTCCTGCTTTCTCTTGTGGGCATTTAGTGCTACAAATTTTGTAGACACTGCTGCTTTGTCTGTGTCCCAGAGATTCTGGTATGTTTTGTCTTTGTTCTCATTGGTTTCAAAGAACTTTTTTATTTCTGCCTTCATTTAATTATTTACCCTGTAGTCATTCAGGAGCAGGTTGTTAATTTTCCATGTAATTGTACGGTTTTGCGTGAGTTTCTCAATCCTGAGTTCTAATTTGATTGCACTGTGGTCTGAGAGACTGTTTGTTATTATTTCTGTTTTTTTACTTTTGCTGAGGACTGTTTTACTTCCAATTATGTGGTTAATTTTAGAATAAGTGTGATGTGATGCTGAGAAGAATGTATATTCTGTTGATTTGGGGTAGAGCCCTGTAGATGTCTATTAGGTCTGCTTGAGTTCAAGTCCTGAACATCCTTGTTAGTTTTTTGTCTCATTTATCTGTCTAATATTGACAGTGGGGTGTTAAAGTCTCCCACTATTACAGTATGGGAATCTAAGTTTCTTTGTAGGTCTTTAAGAACTTGCTTTATGATTCTGGGTGCTCCTGTGTTGGGCGCATATATATTTACGATAGTTAGCTCTTCTTGTTGCATTGATCCTTTTACCATTATGTAATGCCCATCTTTGTCTCTTTTGATCTTTGTTGGCTGAACATCTGTTTTATCAGAGAATAGAATTGCAGCCCCTGCTTTCTTTTGCTTTCCATTTGCTTGGTAAATATTCCTCCATCAATTTATTTTGAGCCTATATGTGTCTTTGCATGTGAGATGGATCTCCTGAATACAGCACTTTGTTGGATCTTGAATCTTTATTCAATTTGCCAGTCTGTGTCTTTTAATTGGGGCATTTAGCCTGTTTACATTTAAGGTTAATATTGTTATGTGTGAATTTGATCCTGTCATTATGATGCTAGCTGGTTATTTTGCCCATTAGTTGATGCAGTTTCTTCATAGTGTCGATGGTCTTTACAATTTGGTATGTTTTTGCAGTGGCTGGTTTACCAGTTGTTCCTTTTGATGTTCAGTGCTTCCTTTAGGAGCTCTTGTAAGGCAGGCCTGGTGGTGACAAAATCTCTCAGCATTTGCTTGTCTGTAAAGGATTTTATTTCACCTTCGCTTATGAAGCTTAGTTTGGCTGGATATGAAATTCTGGGTTGAAAATTCCTATCTTTAAGAATGTTGAATATTGGCCCCCCAGTCTTCTGGCTTGTAGGGTTTCTGCAGAGAGATCCACTGTTAGTCTGATGGGCTTTGCTTTGTGGGTAACCCTACATTTCTGTGTGGCTGCCCTCAACATTTTTTTCTTCATTTCAACCTTGGTGAATCTGACGATTCTCTCTCTTGGGGTTGCTATTCTTGAGGAGCATCTTTGTGGTGTTCTCTGTATTTTCTGAATTTGAATGTTGGCCTGTCGTGCTATGTTGGGGACATTCTCCTGGATGATATCCTGAAGAGTGTTTTCCTACTTGGTTCCATTCTCCCCATCACTTTCAGGTACCCCAATCAAACGAAGATTTGGTCCTTTCATAGTCCCATATTTCTTGGAGGCTTTGTTTGTTTCTCTTTATTCTTTTTTCTCTAATCTTGTATTCTTGCTTTATTTCATTAAGCTGATCTTCAATCTCTGATATCCTTTCTTCTGCATTATCGATTCAGCTATTGATACTTATGCATGCTTCACAAAGTTCTCGTGCTGTGTTTTTCATCTCCATCAGGTCATTTATGTTCTTCTCTAAACTGATTATTCTCATTAGCAATCCTTCTAACCTTTTTTCAAGGTTCTTAGCTTCCTGGCATTGGGTTAGAACACGCTCCTTTAGCTTGGAGGAGTTTGTTATTACCCACCTCTGAAATTTGCAAATTTGAATTTGTCAATTCGTCAAACTCATTCTCCATTCAGTTTTGTTTTTTTTTTTTTGCTGGTGATGAGTTGTGATCCTTTGGAGGAGAATAGGCATTCTGGTTTTTGGAATTTTCAGCCTTTTTGCACTGGTTTCTCCCCATCTTTATGGATTTATTGACTTTTGGTCTTTGATGTTGATGACCTTCGGATGGTGTCTCTGAGTAAACATCCTTTTTGTAGATGTTGCTTCTATTCCTTTCTGTTTGTTAGTTTTCCTTTTAACAGTCAGGCCTCCCTGCTGCAGATCTGCTAGACCTTGCTGGAGGTCCACTCCAGACCCTTTTTCCTGGGTATCACCAGCAGAGGCTGCAGAATAACAAAGATTGCTGCCTGTTCCTTCCTCTGGAAGGTTTGTCCCAGAGGCCACCTGCCAGATGCCAGCCAGAGCTCTCTTGTATGAGGTCTCTATCAGCTTCTACTGGGAGGTGTCTCTTAATCAGGAGACACGGATGTCAGGGACCAACTTGAGGTGGCAGTATGACCCTTAGCAGCGCTTGAACGCTGTGCTGGTAGATGCACTGCTCTCTTCAGAGTTGTCCAGCAGGGATGTTTAAGTCTGCTGAAGCTGTGCTCCCAGCTGTCCCTTCCCCCAGGTGCTCTGTCCCAGGGAGATGGGTGTTTTTACTATATGCCCCCGACTGTGGCTGCTGCCTTTTTTTTTTTTTTTTTTTTTTTTTTCAAAGATGCCCTGCCCAAAGAGGAGGAACCTGGAGATACAGTCTGGTCTTGCTAGCTGCGGTGGGCTCCACCCAGTTCAATCTTCTGGGTGGCTTTATAGGGTAAAGCTGCCTACTCAAGCCTCAGCAATGGCAGACGCCCTTCCCCCACCAAGCTCGAGCTTCCCAGGTCAAGCTTAGACTGCTGTGCTTGCAGCCAGAATTTCAAGCCAGTGGGTCCTAGTTTGCTGGGCTCCATGGTGTGGGACCCACTGAGCCAGGCCACTTGACTCCCTGGCTTCAGCCTTCTTTCCAGGGGAGTGAATGGTTCTGTCTCACTGGCCTTCTGGGCACTATACTGGGGTATGGGGAAAAAAAAGAAAAAACTCTTGCAGCTAGTTTGGTGTCTGCCCAAACGGCCTCCCAGTTTTGTGCTTGAAACCCAGGGCCCTGGTGTCATAGGCACCAGAGGGAATCTTCTGGTCTGTGGGTTGTGAAGACCATGGAAAAGCACAGTATCTGGGCTGGAGAGCACTGTTCTTTATGGTACAGTCCCTAAACCCTTCCTTTGGCTAGGAGAGGGAGTTCCCCAACCCCTTGCACTTCCTGGGTGAGGCAACACTGCACCCCACTTCGGCTCACCCTCCATGAGCTGCATCCACTGTTCAACCAGTCCCGTTGAGATAAACCGGGTACCTCAGTTGGAAATGCAGAAACCACCCACCTTCTGTGTCAGTCTTGCTGGGAGCTGCAGATCAGAGCTGTTCCTATTTGGCCATCTTGCCAGCCTCCTCTATTTTCATTTTTATTACCGAAAGTGTGGTATAATAATATCCTACTATAATTATATTGATCTCCTTGTGTTTCTTCTATTCTATCAATATTTGCTTTATATATTTGTAATCCTAATGTGAGACACACACATACACACATTCAGATTTTTCACAGATTCCCAGTTAATCTATTATTTTTTAATATCTTTCTTTGTCTCTTTGGAGTTTCATTGTCAAGTGCATTTTATAAAATATGAGTCTTTGACTTAAGATTTAGCTTGTGTAATATTATTTTGACCTCTTCTGCTCTCACTTGACTAATATTTGCATGAAATGTCTACTTCCATCTTGCCACTTTGAGTCTTTTTAACATTAGATTTCAACTGACTCTTGTAGAAAGGCAAGTTGGATCTTGATATTTAAAATTTTTTAAATAACCTGGGCATGGCGGCTCGTGCCTATAATCCTAGCACTTTAGGTGGCCAAGGCAGGTGGATCACCCAAGGTGTGAGGGGTTCCAGACCAGCCTGGCCAACATTGTGAAACCTCATCTCTACTAAAAATACATAAATTAACTGGTAGTGTTGGTAGACTTTTGTAATCCCAGCTACTCGGGAGTGTGAGGCAGGAGAACTGCTTGAACCTGGGTGGCAGAGGTTACGGTGAGCTGAGATAGTGTCATTGCACTCCAGCCTGGGCAACAAGAGTAAAACTTTGTCTCAAAAGAAAAAATGTTAATAAATCTATTAAAATTCTGTTGATTTGAAAGTTAATTTTCCGTATATTTAAATAATTTTCTGAAAGTAAAGGAGTTACTTTTATTTTATTACCTATTCTATTTAATTCTTTCATCTTGTCCCTCATTTTCTCTTTCTGTCTTCCTTTGTTTCTTTCTGGTTTTCGTATTGATATGCTTTCATTTTCTTATTTTTCTTTTGTGTATGTATACAGATTTTTTTGTGTGGTATCTTGGGGATTACATAAAACCTCTAAAAATAAAACAATATATTTTAATCAGGTGAAAAATTAACTTCAGTTGCATAAAAAAGTCCTCCTTATTATGTCTGCTCTTAAATTTTTCACTGATGTTGCTAAGTTTATCTATTTATGTTGTATATTCATTAACAGATGTTTATAATAATTCCTGTGCTTTTATCTCTCAAATGTTAGAGAATAATTAAAAATGTTTTCTGCACCATTAGAATAATGCTAGAAATTCAATTTTTTTGTGTGTGCATATCTTTCCTAGAAAATAATGTATTTTTATATGACTAGGTGTTGTTTTCTTACATTATGTTATTTTCAGTGGTAAGAACTACTTTCAGCATCTTTCCTATGGAAGACGTATGCAGTGCAAAATATACTTTTTAAGAATTTGGTTATTTTGAAAGCTCTTTTTTTTTTTTTCTTTTAGGCAGGACAGATTTGCTGATGGTATTTATTCTCACTTTATAGCTTCTTTTTTTTGTTTGCTTTTTTTTTTTTTTTTTAGAACTTTGACTATATCACACTGTTCTCTTCTATCCTGCAAATCTTTTGTTGACAATTCACTGGTTATTTTTGTTCTTATCCTCATTTTTCTCATTTTCTATAGTCTTTTGTGTTCCTGCTTCACTCATTGAGTGCTATTCAATTTTTAAAATTAGTATATACATTTTCAATGGTTTCTTTCTGAAAACTTTATAATATTTTTGATAAGATTATATTGCCCTATTTTGTATAGACTGTAATCTTTGAGATTTGGACATTTAAAAAGGCCACCTGTCACAAAATTTATAATGTAGCTTTGTCCTGGCATAGTCAGAAAATAATGGTCTTGGCTAGAGATTATGTGGGTCTCTCAAACATCTTCAGGTTTGTCTTGTCTGAAATTTTGTGTTTATTTTTAGTTAAAAGAGACTATTTATGTTTCTTCTGAAAAGTAATCACTTGGTACACCTGTACTCTCTCTGTGGCACTGCAGTGCTCTGCTGCAGTGCATTTACCTTTGATCTCAGCAGGCTCAAACTTTCATTTCAAAGTATACCACCATGTATTTCAGCACTTTATGTCATGAGAGACAGAAACCAGTGTGTGGAAAGAGCCATAGAAGACAAAAATTAAATTGGATGTGTCAATATTTTACTTTCCTTAAAAAAAAAAAAAAATCAGAAATGGACAATTTGCTTCTGAAGGGACTAGGTAATATTGAGGAGCAGAAAGAGTTGTATTGGGTAAATTTAACAAACTTTTCTTGTTTTCTATGTGGCTCTTTGCATTGGGCTTAATTGAGGAAATGCACACACTTAACTCATGTATAAATTATTCACATATGTATTTTGGTCTATATGTTTTTATTACATTTATATATCTATGAAGAATTAGGGCCTGTGTCATATTGCAATGTCGTCTTGCTTATGTAGTTTGAATAATTTTATAGGTTAGATTTGGAAACTGTACTTATCTGAGTCTAATATGTAGATTAATTTGTTATTTTTATTTCTTTTCAGTTATATGTTCTCATTTTTCCCAAGAGTTTTGGCCAGAGCAAGGCATAGAAGATTCTTTCCAAAAAATGATATTGAGAAGATATGACAAATGTGGACATGAGAATTTACACTTAAAAATTAGTTGTACCAATGTGGATGAGTGTAACGTGCACAAAGAAGGTTATAATAAACTTAACCAGAGTTTAACAACTACACAGAGCAAAGTATTTCAATGTGGCAAATATGCAAACGTCTTTCATAAATGTTCAAATTCAAACAGACATAAGATAAGGCATACTGGAGAGAAAGGTTTGAAATGTAAAGAATATGTCAGATCATTTTGCATGCTTTCACACCTATCTCAACATGAAAGAATTTATACTAGAGAGAATTCCTACAAATGTGAAGAAAATGGCAAAGCTTTTAACTGGTCCTCAACCCTTACTTATTATAAGAGTATTCATACTGGAGAGAAACCCTACAAATGTGAAGAATGTGGCAAAGCCTTTAGTAAGTTCTCAATCCTTACTAAACATAAGGTAATTCATACTGGAGAGAAACCCTACAAATGTGAAGAATGTGGCAAAGCTTTTAATCGATCCTCAATCCTTACTAAACATAAGATAATTCATACTGGAGAGAAACCCTACAAATGTGAAGAATGTGGCAAAGGATTTAGTAGCGTCTCAACCCTTAATACACATAAGGCAATTCATGCTGAAGAGAAGCCCTACAAATGTGAAGAATGTGGCAAAGCTTCCAACTCGTCCTCAAAGCTCATGGAACATAAGAGAATTCATACTGGAGAGAAACCCTACAAGTGTGAAGAATGTGGCAAAGCCTTCAGCTGGTCCTCAAGCCTTACTGAACACAAGAGAATTCATGCTGGAGAGAAACCCTACAAATGTGAAGAATGCGGGAAAGCTTTTAATCGATCCTCAATCCTTACTAAACATAAGATTATTCATACTGGAGAGAAACCCTACAAATGTGAAGGATGTGGCAAAGCCTTTAGTAAGGTCTCAACCCTTAATACACATAAGGCAATTCATGCTGAAGAGAAGCCCTACAAATGTGAAGAATGTGGCAAAGCTTCCAACTCATCCTCAAAGCTCATGGAACATAAGAGAATTCATACTGGAGAGAAACCCTACAAGTGTGAAGAATGTGGCAAAGCCTTCAGCTGGTCCTCAAGCCTTACTGAACACAAGAGAATTCATGCTGGAGAGAAACCCTACAAATGTGAAGAATGTGGCAAAGCCTTCACCTGGTCCTCAAGCTTTACTAAACACAAGAGAATTCATGCTGCAGAGAAACCTTACAAATGTGAAGAATGTGGCAAAGGCTTTAGTACGTTCTCAATCCTTACTAAACATAAGATAATTCATACTGGAGAGAAACGCTACAAATGTGAAGAATGTGGCAAAGCCTTCAGCTGGTCCTCGATCCTTACTGAACATAAGATAATTCATACTGGAGAGAAACCCTACAAATGTGAAGAATGTGGCAAAGCCTTCAGCAGATCCTCAAGCCTTACTAGACACAAGAGAATTCATACTGGAGAGAAACCCTACAAATGTGAAGAATGTGGCAAAGCTTTTAAGTCATCCTCAACTGTTAGTTATCATAAGAAAATTCATACTGGAGAGAATCCCTAAAAATGTGAAGAATGTGGTAAATCCTTCAGCTGATTCTCAGTCTAGTAAACATAAGAAAATTCATACTGGAGAGAAAATCTACAAAGGTGAAGAATGTGGCAAAGCTTTTAAACAGTCCTCAATCTTTATTACACATAAGAAAATTCATGCTGGAGAGAAACACTACAAACGTGAAGAATGTGACAAAGGCTTCAACCGGTCCTCAAACCTTGTGGAACATAAGAGAATTCATACTGGAGAGAAACCCTACAAATGCGAAGAATGTGATAAAGACTTCAACTGTTCCTCACACCTTACTACTCATAAAAGAATTCATACTGGAGGAAAAGCCCTACAAATGTGAAAAACGTGGCAAAGCTTTTCATTAGTTCTCAACCCTTACTGAACATAAGGGAATTTATACAGGAGGGAAACCCTACAAATGTGAAGAATGTGGCAAGCCTTTTAGCTGTTCCTCAATCCTTACTAAACATTCATGTAATTCATACTGGAGGGAATTCCTATAATTGTGTGGAATGTGGCAAAGCCTTTAACCAGTCCTTAAGGCTTACTACATATAAGACAACTCATACTGGAGAGAAACCATGCATGTGTGAAGAATGTGGGAAAGCCTCTAACAGATCCTCAATTCTTAAGAAACATAGGCTAATTCATACATGAGAGACTCTACAAACCTGAAAGATGTGACAATGCTTTTGGCAACACCTCAGACTTTTCTGAATATAAAAGAAATCATATGAATGAGAAATCCTAGAAATGTGAAGAATGTGACAAAGCCTTTAAATGGCTGTCACACTTGATTGTAGGTAAGATAATATACTGGAGAAAACTACTAGAATAAACAATGTGGCACACATTTAACCAATACTCATGCCTTATTGCAAAGGAAAGCATTTATATACTAGCCTGGGCAACAGAGAGACTGGGAAAAAAAAATTGTGAATGCCACTAATATCTTCTCACATCTTATTCAACACCAGAGAGTTCATATTAAATAAAGTATTAAAAGTACAATTATTGTCACTAGATCTTTCAGAAAATAAAAGCCCTTAAAATACAGAAGAATATTTATTTTGAGGAAAAACATTACAAATATAAAGAGGGTTGTAGTGCCTTTACTTGTATCACAGATTTTATTGTACACATTTTGTACTACAGGAAAACCTTAGGTAGTTGTTCCAACTTTGCTAAACATCAGGGAATTTATATTGAATGACCGTGCAAATTTAATAAATTTGGAAAAACATTTTTACAAAAACTACAGAATTATAAAACACAAAAGAGTTTATACTAAAATATATTTTTGCAGATACAGTAAATATAAAAATATTTAATCCAAAATTGTTTATGTAAATATAGATAATTCACAGTAGAAATACCTATCTCTCAAACTTCAGACATTACACTAAATCAGACTGCTGAGTATAGGAAAAAATCCAAAACTAAAGTTGTTAAAAAGAAAAATTATTTGTATATGACTTTGAAAGAAGTAGACCTTTGAAGAGTTACATTTACATTTAAAGTATACTTTTATCTTAAAAATACCGATTTTTTTTTTTTTTTTTTTTTTTTGCCAGACACAGTGGCTTACACCTGTAAGGCCAATACTTTGTGATGCCAAGATGGGCAGATCACCTGAGGTCAGGAGTTCAAGACCAGCCTGGCCAACAAGGTGGAACCCCATGTCTACTAAAAATAAATACAAAAATTAGCCAAACATGGTGGTGCACACCTGTAGTCCCAGCTACTTGGGAGGCTGAGGCATGAGAATCACTTGAACCTGGGAGCCAGAGGTTTCAGTGAGCTGAGATTTTGCCACTGCACTGAAGCCCGGGTGATAATGAGATTGTCTCAAAAGAAAAAAAAAAGCTTATTTGGAAACTGAATAATGACGGAATTCAACTCTTAAATTGCTTCATGCTATTTCTTAATTTCTCTTGTATTCCCATATAAAAGCATGTGATCAATTCTTTCTGCATCAAAGATTTGGGAGACTTTTTACATGGTCATTATGACATTTCTTATGGATGACTAAGGACATTAAAATGTAAGATGCACGATGAAAATCTAAGTAGGAAGGCTATTTGTGATTAACTTATAGAATTGAGTGATGTATGAGGTAGGCATTCAGAGTTTTTTTTTTTTTTTTTTTTGAGAGGGAATCTCACTCTGTTTCCCAGGCTGGAGTGCAGTGGTATGATCTCAGCTCACTGTAAGCTCCTCCTCCCAGGTTCAAGATATTCTCCTGTCTCAGCCTCCCAAGAAGCTGAGATTACAGGTGCCCACAACCACATCCAGCTAATTTTTGTATTTTAGTAAAACAAGGTTTTGCCATGTTGGCCAGGCTGTTCTTGAACTTTTGACCTCATGTGATCTGTCTGCCTTGGCCTCCCAAAGTGCTGTGATAATAGGTGTGAGCCACTGCACCTGGCTCTAAGTGATGTACTAATGTAGTATTATGAGAGAATATTATGAGAGAATAACATATTTTATAGTTAAAATTAATTAAATTAGTATGTCATTTTATTAATTGTACTTTTATGTGATAAAATTGCATTTTTAAAGTTTTAGATTATGTGTTAATTTTTTATTTCAACATTTATAACATGTTAAATACTGTTATACATTCAATAAAGTGTTATTATGCCACTAGTTTTAACCTATTCCACCTTACTTAAGGGTATATTTAAAAGATGGTAACAATACACTATTTGGTAACATAATAGACTAACATCTCTAGTATTCTTTTTCAGTGGCTTTAAACTGCAAATAAGTTAAAGAATATGGTTCCTGCAGGTTAAATTTTTTTTACATTTAAATTTTTCTTAGTTTTTGTGTGTACATAATATGTGTATACATTTATGCCATAGATGGCATATTTTGATACAGTCATACAATATATAATAATCACATTGTGATAAATAAGGTACCTATAACCTCTGGCTTTTATGTTTTGTATTACAAACCAATTCTACAGTCTTAGTTATTCTAAATTGTACAATTAAATTGTTATTGACTACATGGTTATTTTTATGGTCATCATAAAAATTGTAAATAAGTGTAAATAAAATCAATATATTTCTGAGTCCTGAATAATTTTCAAAAATTTATTATGTATTTTTTGCACATGTGGCCTCTGCCTGAAAGCACATAATCGAGTTTTAGTTTTGACTTACATAGAGTTAAATATACACATCTATTAGTCTAAAGATATAACTTAGGTTTAAGGAGTAAGTGTGTTTGTTTGACTGTAAGTTTGTAACTATTTTCAGGAGAAAAGAGGAATATTGAAACCACAAAGCATTTAATAAGATGTCTAATTTACTAGGAAACAAAAATCCTCAAAAATGCTAAAAGCAAATGTAGGCTGGGCGCGGTGGCTCACGCCTGTAATCCCAGCACTTTGGGAGGCTGAGGCGGGCGGATCACGAGGTCAGGAGATCGAGACCCCTGACCTCTACTAAACCCCGTCTCTACTAAAAATACAAAAATTAAAAAAATAAAATAAAAGCAAATGTATACTCTCTGCTTTGTATTCAATTTATACACCTATCTTATAGCTTATCATTTAGAATATTTCCATGTAAATTTTGTTTTTACTTGCATGATACTCATGCTAGACCCATAATCTTTTTGTTTCTTATTTTTTTGTTTTATAGTTTATGAAGTATTTAATCTGAGCTGATTTGTAGTTAAAAGAATAATTTTTGTAAAATTTCATCATGCAAACAAAATTATTTTTAGATATAATTCCACAATTTGTGTATTGTTACATTTTATTTAGTTAAAACATTCCATTAGCTTCTATGGGAGAACCATATATAGGCTTACTTTAGTTATTGTTCCCTTAACTTTTTATAAGTAACAAAAGTAAATTTTATTTATTGAGTCAATTTGTTTCAGTAAGTACTAGGGAAGCTTCATAAGTCATGTGGATGCTTTTATATATAAATGTAGCAAACAAACATGACAGTGCTCAGTGTGTAACAGATGCTTTATAATTAGTCATAAATATTCCTGCTGAAGTTTGTAACTTCAAGTCAGAGATGGAAAATACAAATTGTGAAGAAATAACATTGATTCTTCATGTGAGCAGAACATCTTTTTCCAGGCTGCAAAGCTGAATCTTGCTGAATTTAAAGAGAAATGCTTCATTCACGTCTTAATTATCTAAGTTTTGTCTTTTTAAGTGCACTCAAACCATATATGCATCACAGTCCTTTTTCTGTGTTATGGCTACAGTTTTCTCACTGTTGTTTTCATGCCATGCGATTTCACATGGTATGTTGTAGGTTTTAAGGAGAACATCGGTATTTTTTAATGCACTGAAACATTGGTTTTAACTGGAAAGTTTGCTTATCAGTATAACTTTAAGATTGGTTAATTAACATAAAAGACATACACTGTCTACCGAAGAGAGGATTAAATCAACATGGTGTTTCTTTGTAAAAGAAAAATATTAGATTTTTATACATAGTGTGGCAAATACATAATTTGCTAGACCATATGTATATTATAAAGATTCAATTTTTAAGAGAATAGTAAGTAAGCAATTTTAAATTTAGTTATTTAGGATGTACTTAGAGCACAACCTACATTTCCATGCAAAATTGTCTATTTTAAAGTGAATGTTAAAGGTTGCAAAACAATAAAATAACCTGTAAATTTGGAATAATATTTATTTTCCATATTGATACTACAATTTGGAGAAATGTATCGCTCACTTTTTAAATAAAAATTTTAGTGGCTGAAGTTTAGTCTACAGTTTATATTGTTGGTCACCTAAGTGTAGCGATCTCCTTGATCATTTTCTCTCAAAACTTTTGGAGATAATGGCAGCTTTTGGATTAAAACATTTCCTGTGAGTTTGCATGCAAACCAGTTTACTGTGATCACACAGTGGCCAGTCATGGGAGCATAAGCAACCTGCCCTTTTCCTGTCTTTCGTACTGTTACCATAAGCACCAGTAACTCCAGGTGCCGCAAGCTTAAAATAAAAGCCCTAAAGTCATTGGCTTCTCCCATGCCCTGTGCTGGGTTCAGAACATGCTGTTGAACATCAACGTTCCTATGGTTATGACTGGCAAAACAGCTGAAAAACTGTACGATAGGATACTGCTAAGTTTTATAAAAGAAACAGACAGTATTTGGAACATTGTTATCCTTCTATAGTGTCTAAAAATATATTTTTAACTTGACAAAATATTTATTTTATAAAACAACATTTTGAAGTGTATATACATTGTCAAATGCTTAGTTCTATGTGATTAATGCTTTGTCTCATATTGGTAACATTTTTGTGGTTAGACAACATGAAATTGTAAGCATTTTTCAAAAATACAAATGCATTATTATGAACTATAGTCACCATGCTGTACAATAAATCTCTGGAAATTATTTCTTTTATCCAAGTATAATTATATATTCTTTGACAGACATCTTTCAATGCCCCTATTTCTTCTAAATACCTTGGCACTTGGTGGTCACCATTTTACTCTCTACGTCAATGAGATGAACTTTTTTAGAAGCCACGTGTAAGTGAAATCATGAGACATGAATCTTTCTGTGCCTTGCTTATTTCAACTAATATAATGTCCTCCAGGTTAATCCCTGTGATTGAAAATAACAGAATTTTTGTTGTTTAAAGATGAATAGTATTCCATTGTATATATCTACCACATTGTCTTTATTTACTCATTAGATGTTGAACTGTTGATTTTATATATTTTACATGTGAAGAGTGCTGCAAACAACCTAGAAGTGCAAATGTTTCTTCATTCTGATTTCATTTGTTTTGGATATACAATGGTGCAATTGTTATATGGTAGTTTGATTTTTAAGTTTTTTAAGAAAACTCTATTAAGTTTTTCATAATGGCTGTCCTCACTTACATTCAAACAAATAGTGTGCAAGCATTTTCTTTTCTTCAGATTTCTACCATCACGTTTTCTTCTTAATTAGAGTCATTCTAACAGAAGCGAGTTGATATCTCATCGTTTTTCTTTTTTTTTTTTGCTTGTCTTTCCCTGATAATAATTGACATTGAGCATTTTAAAAATATATCTGTTGGCCATATGTATGTCTTTTTCTGAAAAATATTTAAGCCTTTTTCTCATTTTTAATAGTTACTTGTTTTTTGTTCTATAGTCATTTGAGTTTGTTACATAGTTTTGATATTAATCCCTTGTCACATTTATGATTTGCAAATATTTCCTTCCATTTTTTGGTTGTCTCATCCTGTTGATTGTATTATGTTCTTTGCAGCAGTTTTTTAATTTAAATAATCTGATTGATCTATTTTTTTCATTTTGCTCCTTGAGACTTGAGGTCAAATTTTAAAAGTCACTGCCCAACCAATGTTACAGGGCTTTCAGTCTTTATTTTTTGTAGTAGTTTCAGAGTTTTAGACCTTACATTTAAGTATCAAATTTATTTTGTGTTTTTATTTTATTTAAATATCTAATTTATTTATATATGGTGTGAGTTGAGGGTCTTATTATATTCCTCTGCATGTGGATATAAAGTTTTCTCAACACCATTTATTGAAGATACTGCCTTTTCCCTAAGAAATTGCCACCTTTATTTAAAAAGCAGATGGCTGTAAATACATCAGTATATTTTAGTCTCCTTTTTCTTCTCTACTGGCCTGTGTGTCTGTTTTTGTGCAAGTACCGTACTTTTTTTTTTTTTTTTTTACTAAAACTTTTAATATATTTCAAAGTCAGGTAGTGATACCTTCACTTTTTCTACGGCTTGGTTGCTTTGGCTATTCAGGTTCTCTTGTGGTACCCTATAAATTTTAGATGTAGTTTTTTAAATTTGTTAATTATATCACTGGTATTTTGATAGAGGTTGCATTATATCTGTACATCATTTTGTATAATACAGATGCTTAACAATATTAGTAATGCCAATTTATAAAGGAGTAATATTTTCCAATTGTGTATTAATTTCTGTCATTTCATTTAGAGATAGTTGTCAATATATAGAAATTCTACTGACACTTGGATGTTGCTTTTGTATTCTGAAAGTTCAATAAATTTGTTTATTAGTCCTACTAATTTTTAGTAATGTCTTAGGCTTTTGTTTACTTAAGATTATGTATAGAAATAAAAAATTGCAAAGGAATAATTTAACAATTTTTCTAATCTCAGCACTTTGATTTTATTTTCTAATATTTCTGTCTTGGATAGTTCATACTATGTTTAATAAGACTGAAGAAAGTGGGCATTTTTGTCTTCTTGCTCTTAGAGTAAAAGCTTACAAGATTTCCCTGTTTAGTATGTTATTAGCTGTGCTTTTTTTTGTTTGTTTGTTATATGTGGCATTTATTGGCTTGAGGTTCGTTTGTCCTATACCTACTTTTTTCAGAAATTTATCATGAAGGAATGTTGAATTTTGTTTAACTCTTATTCTGCATTTATTTAAATGTTAGAGATGTGAAATCACATCTAATTCTACATAGATTTAAAAATATTCTCAGAGACTTCTATGAACATGCATGCAAAGTAGAAGATTTAGAGAAAATAGATAAACTCCCGGATGCACAAAACTTCTCAAGATTGAACCAGAAAATCAGAAGTCTTTTTTTTTGTTGTTTTGTTGTTGTTTGTTTTTGTTTTGTTTTGTTTTTGAGATGGAGTCTCACTCGGTCACCCAGGCTGGAATGCAGTGGCGTGATCTTGGCTCACTGCAAGCTCTGCCTCATGGGTTCATGCCATTCTCCCACCTCAGACTCCCAATTAGCTGGGCTACAGGCTCCCGCCACCAAGCCCGGCTAATTTTTTGTATTTTTAGTAGAGGTGGGGTTTCACCATTTTAGCCAGGATGGTCTCGATCTCCTTACTTCGTGATCTGCCCACCTTGTCCTCCCAAAATGCTGGGATTACAGGCCTGAGCCACCGCACCTGGCCTAATAACAGCAATCTTTAACAACAAAAATGTATAAGATGTATAATGACATTTAATAAGTAATAATAGACCTACTAATCATAAAAAGCCCTGGATCATATGAAATCACAGACAAGTTTTACCACATATACGAAGATAAGCTGGTCCTAAGCCTACTGAATGTATTCCAAAAAATCAAGGTGGGATTTCACCCTAACTAATTATATGAAATCAGTGAAATACATGAAACTAAAATCTAGTGAAGACACAACAAAAACAGAAACTACAGTTCAATATTCTGGGTGAATATTGGAACAATAATCCTCCATGAAATACTAGCAAACTGAATTCAAAAGCAAATCAGAAAGTTATTTTGCTACAATGATGTGAACTTTATTCCATAAATGCAAAGATGTTTCATCATATGCAAGTCAATAAGTATGATCACCATGTAAAAATAAAATAAAAAATATTTAACACAATGGGGCAGAAAAGGCATTCAAGAAAATCCAATATTGACTCATAAAAATATTGTCAACACACTAGACATTGATGAAACATACCCCAAAATAATGAGTCATCTATGACAAATCCTTAGCCAACATCATACTAAAAAAGCAGAAACTGAAAGCATTCTCCATAAGAATAAAAATAAGACAAGAATATCCATTCTAAACAGTCCTATTGAAGTTACGAAGTCCTAGCCAGAGAAATAAAAGGAATCCAAACAGAAAACAAAGTCAAGTTATCTTTACTGATGATAGAATTGTCTACCTAGAATACTTTAAAGATTTCACCAGAAGACTCTGAAGCCTGAAAAAAGACTCCAAAAAAACCTCAGAATACAAAATCAACACAAATGCATAGCACTTCTATACACCAATAATATTCAAACAGAACAAAATAAAAAACACAGCTCTATTTACAATAGCCACAAACAAAAAAAAAAAACAAGAAATACATTAAATCAAGGAGCTAAAATATCTGTACAAAGAAGAAGAAAACATTGCTGAAAGAAATGAGCGAGAATGCAAATAAATGGAAAAATATTGCATGCTGATGGATTCAAAGAATATAATTAAAATGGTCATTCTGACTAAAGCAACCTACAGATTAAGTGCTATTTTTATCAGACTATCCATGATGCTTTTTTATAGAATTAGAAAAAGAAAACTATTCTAAAATATATACAAAAGAATTAAAGAGCTCAAATAGCCAAGACAACTTCAAACTAAAAGAATAAATCTGGGCTGAGTGTGGTGGCTCATGCCTGTCATCTCAGCCCTTTGGGAGGCTTACACAGATGGATCACCTGAGGTCAGAAGTTTGAGACCACCCTGGCCAACACGGTGAAACCTGCGTCTCTACTAAATACAAAAAATTAGCCAGATGTGGTGGCACATGCCTGTAATTCTAGCTACTTGGGAGGCTGAGGCAAGAGAACCACTTGAACTGGGAGGTGGAGGTTGCAGTGAGCCAAGATTGCATCAGAGTAACCAGTATAACATGATTCTGGTACAAAAATATACATATAGACCAATGAAATGGAAGAGACAGTCCTGAATTAAGCTATACTTTACAACCAGGTTATTTTTACAAAGCCAACAGAATTAAATCCCTATTCAGTAAATAATACTGGGAAAACTTGTTAGTCATATGTGGAAGAAAACTGGAGTCCTACCTTTTTCTATATAAAAAAATAACAACATAAATTAAAGACTTGATCTGTGAGTCTTCAAGCTACAAAATTCTTAGAAGAACACTTAGAAAATATTGGCCTCTCTAAAGAATTTATGACTAACATGAACATGAGTGCGACAAAAATAAAAATAAAAAATGACATCTAATTAAGGCAAAGAACTTCTGCACAGTGAAAGAAACTATCAACAAAGTAAACAGATGACCTACAGTATGAAATAAAATATTTGCAAACTGCCGACAATGAAGGATTAATATGCAGAATCTATAAACCATTTAATAAAAAAGCAAACAAATGATATGAATAGCCAGCTTCTTCTCAAAGGAAGACATAAGCACTGCCAATAAACATGTAAAAATTGCTCAACATTCCTAATTATCAGGAAGATGTAAATCAAA
Organism: Homo sapiens; assembly: GCF_000001405.40. Lineage (NCBI taxonomy): Eukaryota > Metazoa > Chordata > Mammalia > Primates > Hominidae > Homo > Homo sapiens. Next base: position 138,912 of record NW_003315965.1, read on the forward strand.
GTGACAGTGTGATACCATTTCACACCAGTAAGAATGACTGTTATTAAAAGTAAGATAAATAAGATGTTAAAGTTGCAGAGAAAAGAAAATCTTTCTACACTGTTGGTGGGAATGCAAATTAATTCAGGGCCTGTGCAAAGCAGTTTGGAGACTTCTCAAAGAACTAGAAATAGAATTGCCATTTGACTAATCTAGCCCATTAGTGGGTATCTGCCCCAAAAAAGAATAAATAATTTTGCCAAAGAGACACAAGCACTCACATGTTCATTGCAACACTATTCACAATAGCAAAAACAGAATTAAACCAGTTGCCCATGAATCTTTTATTGGATAAGAAAAATGATGTACTTATACAACCTCCAATACTACGCAGCAATGGAAGAGAATGAAGTAATGTCTTTTGCCGCAACATGAATGCAACAGAAGGCCATTATTCTAAGCAAACTGATGCATCAGAAAAACAAATGCCACATGTTCTCACTCATACATGGACGCTAAAAATTGGGCGCACATGGAAACAAAGATGAAAACAATAAGAGAAGGAAGGGTGACAAGCATTGAAAATTGGCTTAGGTATGATGTAAACTACTCAGACAATGGAATAATTAAGTGTTCAAACCTCAATATCATGTAGTCTACCTGTTTTACGAATCTGCACATGTACCCCTTAAATATAAAATAAAAATAATAAAATGCTTTTTGGTATAATGACATGTTCTATTTTTCCAGCTCTGGGTTAATGGTTGAAATTAGGGGTGAAAGACAAATTTTCACCCCTTAAGGCATAGTGGTGAATGTTTCTATACCAGGTCTCCTCACATTTTATAAGCTAACCTCTCTGAAAGTTCTTGGTCTATAGCCCAAAAAGTGTTTTATTTTCAAGTGTGCAGGTAAAACAAATTACACCTTTATCGTTTATGTATTAACTGTGCAGTAGACTATAGATTTAATTTGTTACTCTTTTGGGGGAAAAGGTGGTAAGTGGTTTAGTCTTATTTTTTTCAGAATGAACTATTTTTGAAAGTGTGAGACTAAAAATTATGCTAAATCACTGAATTAGAAATATAAAATATTTTTTCCAAAAAAAAAGCACAAAAGTCTTATAGTCACATTCCAAAAATAATTCAACAGAAAGTGGGGGTTATTTATGACCACAGTGCTGCAAATGCTCATTCCATCACAATCATTCTTGTGAAAAATAGAAATAATGGGTCAGAAGGTATTTTTAGAGTACTTTTCTTATGCTATTGCCATGTGAAATTATTGTCTTTATTATTTTCCATATGAAAGTCTGTACTTGAGCAAAAGATGCCATGAATTTCAAGAGAATATGCTCAGACATTTATTCTCCTTTGAAAGGCACTGGTGTGTTTGCAATCAAGGTGTAGCATTTCTTGCCTTCCTTGTGCTGCTGAGTTTGTGTGAAATAAAAAGGCAGCAAGTAAAGAAGAATCAACCATGACATTTCTAATTTCAACAGCCACAGCCTCTGTAATTGAGTGTTATATCACCTAGAAATAATGACAGTATTTCAAAACTGACAAAAAGTGATACTTTAAATTTTTAGTTTATTATTTATAGTTTATAAAAATTTATAGTTTCTGATTTATTATATGCTAAAAAACATGAACATGCAGATACCTAAAATTTCCACATAGGTGATAGTATTAATATTTTAATAGCTTATAATTGAGAGTCAAAATTGCCCCATTTGATTTACTGGAAAGCAGTTATTTATCTTTTAAGTGTAAATTGGTTATCCATAATCTTAAACATACAGATCTTTTAAGATTAGCATTATGTCTAGATTTAAATAAAATTTATAGTCTTGTGGTAACATAAATTTTCATACTTATTTTCTAATAAAAGTGAAAAGCAAGAGAAATATGTTGTTAAAATGATTTTAAAAGAAACTTTATATATCTTCATTAAATAACATTTAAAACCACATTATAAGTGAGTGATCAGTAATTCCAATCTTTTTTAGTTACTGAGAAAACTTAAATTATTCAATCAGAAGAAGTATTCTTATATTAACATTTCTGAAACTCAGAAACTGTGGACCATTCAATGGATGATGATGTACATGCAGACCACAAATTTTCTATGTAATAATAGACTAATCCTAGATTTTAATATAAAAATTTAATATACTTCTAAATTAAAACTAGTGGCTGTTTTAAGTCATGAGAGATATCATTGTTAAAATCCATTTACCAAAGTATTTGGTTAAATGCAGAGTCTCTGTCAGTTTTATAATTAGAGACAAGAAGGCACATTTTTTTACTTGTTTAATAAATTTATGTTAATTTGATAAATTTCAATATAGTTTAAAAATATATATTAAAATTTTTTTCTAACAAGTGAAGGAAATCATTTGTTTAAAAACTTAGAATTTTACTGTAAACAGTTGCTTTAGAGTCTGTCTTTTAAAGTACTATATTATTTTGAACATTAAAAATCAACAGCCTATTTCTGAGTGCTGGGTTCTGACTGTTCATGATATTAAAAGTTTACTTACCTACATCTGTAAATGAGCAAGCCATTTGAAATAAAATATACATATATGTATATGTTTCCTAAAATTTTAAGATTAACAGCCACATTTTTCTCTGGTGCAATATTTTAAAGCTTATTTCACTCTTTCTTATTAAAAAATGTATTAGTATTTTTGATTGGCAAATCACAGTTGCATAAAGTTATGGGATACAATGTGATGTTTTAGTATATGTATAAAATATTGAATAATTAAGTTTCATTTAATAACATATCTATGAACTTGCTTACCTATCATTTTTGTGGTGGTACATTTGGAATTTACTCTTAGTTATTCTGAAATATGGAATAGTTTATAGTTTACTATAGTTACCCTGCTGTGCAATAGATCTCAAAACTTACTTAACCTATTTGAAATTTTTTACTTTTTGTCAACTCCTTTTCATAAAATTTATATCTGTTTTGAATGTGAATATATGAGAATTTGCCAAGAATAGTATTAAAAACATTCAACTACTATTATAGACCCAGACTGTAAATCTAGTCTCTCAATTTAGAGTAAATTAAGAGAAGATTAAGTTTTTTCAGCCAAGCAAATAAGTGTATAAAACTAATGGGTAACAAACATGGCATTAGTTGCCAAAAAATAGTATGACTAGATTCAGTAAGTGTCTAGCTATGCAAATGAGAGTTCAATCAAATTAAGACCCTAGTAGTTGCATGTGAAAAGCATTGATGTGCAATGTGTTGCACCTCCACTCAGCACCTTTTTTTGCCCATTCGTAAAGATATCAATTTCCCCTGAGTGACTCAGAGCGAATTCTAAAAATGGAAAATTCTGTGCTCAGAGTAGTTACTGGGAACATGGTTAAAACATTTCTTCAATGCTATGAAAAGTTTTTATAAATATCACTCCACTTCAAAAAGTCTTTTAGTAAAAGGTTATTTATAGTACTCTATTTAGATTCATAAAAATTTCAATATTCCACGAAAGTCAGAGACACTTAAATGTAACCAAAATTCCATAAAACTTGAATGGATAAATTCCTCTTGGTTAATAATTTTATTTTATTAACAAATATAGAGTACTTCAGGCAAAATAACAGTTTTTGGCATGGGAGTATCACCAAAACAAGTGCTCTTCATCATCATTGTTAAAGTAAGAAGAGCATTGCCTGCTTTCCTGGAAGCAGCTGACCTGTTTTCCACTGATACAAAGTGGAGAAGACATTGAAATAGTGAAAGAGGGTGATATAAATGGAATACTTATATGAACTACAGTTTATAATAAAAAGTAGCATTTGATGTTTTACAACCATAGATGAGACTATTAGCATGAGGTCATAATATTCTTATTTCTTTTGACAAATTAACTTCATTTACCATATTCTGATTTCAGATAATATTCTTCTTTCTGCTCTATATTTGCTAGCTTTTGGTCAAATCTTATCTGAACTCAATAGAAATCAACAAAATAAATCGATTCTACCACAAGCATTTTATTATTGATGCATCTGCTTATTTTGCTTAAAATACATTAGCTTTTGAAAAGATTTATAGTTTTGTTTCCGAGTGTTGCTTTTTTCTGAGAAGTTGCTGTCATGCTAGAAAGCTGCTATTCTCAGCTCTACTCACAATGACTAATAGCAAGTGGAAGTGATGTGTGGATGAGAAGCAAATGTGTCTTCTCTGCATCTCTTTTTTAATCAATTGGCTGAAGAAAGAGAATGCAGATAGAAGGTGAAAGAAAATATAATCCCTGAAAGATCTTGAAAAAGTCCTTTGAATCAGAAAAAAAAGGAAATGGTGATTTGAGCAGAATATATATTTAAAAAGACTTCTTTTTTTAATCTTTCTTCTTTTTATGAAATATAAAAAAAGCTGACCAAATAAAGTCTAAATGAATTAAGTATAGCTCCTAGTATAACTCACAGTTAATATAAGTTGACTATCCTCTCTGTAGACAACATTTTTCATCAGCATTTTTCAGCATACAGCTAGACCTCAACTAACACTCATTATGTGTCACAAAAATGAATCACCTTAGAAGCCATCTTAATAATGAGATAATTGACTTCTGGTACCCAACTCAGAACATCTACAAAAGGAGTGGTGAACAGATTTCAACAGTGATGCAAAATTTTATTCATTGGCATTGGTAGCTGAGTGCTGTGTTAAGGATTCTAAAGTCACTATTTATTAAGTGGAAGTAGATCATCATAAAGGTCTTCATTCTCATCATCTTCACACTGAGTAGGGCTGCTTTCTTTTCCACAGTTGTGTTTAAAACTGTCCAAAGACACTCTCCAAATGCTTGGCTTTCTGTCTAGAAGCTTCAAATGGGGCTTTTGGGTGTGCATCTTTTTCTAGTTTCGCACAGCTGGAGAGGCTTCAGGAAACTTACAATCATGGTGGAAGGCAAAGGGGAAGCAAAGACTTTCTGGTTGTGGCTGGAGAAAGAGCTACAATGTACTGACTAGTCTCACTCGGGATGTTCCTGACATTCAGGATAGGTGGGGTGACCCAGCAATCATTTGGACACTGTCCATTCCAGTGACGCTCAAACTTCAGTGTGCATCAGAATTTCTGCAAGGCTTGCTGAGACACAGACTGCTGAGCCCACCTCCAAGACTTCTTTCTTTTTAAGGAATAAAGAGCATTCCATTGTGTAAATATACCACTTTTTAAAATTCATTCAACTGTTGATGAACCCTTATGTTGATTTCACACCCTACCTATTGTGAGGAATCCACTTTTTTTCCTTTTCTTATTTGTTTATATATCTTTCTTTATTTCTAGAAACATTTTAATTTTATACTATAAATTATGACTGTTAAATACCTCTATTTCTATGCCTTCTTTTGGTTAATATTTTGGCTGATTGAAGCAATAAGTTTGTAAAAAATTTTTTGGATCAAGGCCATTATTTTATTATTAACATAATTTGAGACAATATAGCAATAAAAATCAACATTGATTAGTGAAACAAGTTTCTAGCCCCTGGTAATCATTTTCTCTCCCACCCAACATAAAAGTTGAGTCTTTGTGTCATTTCTCCAAGTTGTAAGAAAGAAGCTTTTGATTAAATTGGTCAGCATAAAATTGTGTAAAATTTTACTTTTTTAATCTAAAAATTAAGCTGCTCTATTGCCAGAAAAGTTATTTTTAATATGTATTACTTTATTATATTTAAATTCTTCAGAGAAACTAAGCTGACAAAAATGCACTCAAATGTTTTTGAAAATTAAAAATGCTTAAGAAACATTTTTTACAGAATCTAAAACTAAAAATAGTTTTAGTTTCTTAGAGAACATCTTTCAAATACTTCAAGTTACCTTCTTCTGACAGTAAATATGTATTTTTCTATATTGCTATAGTACAGCTTTAGCTATCCTTTGTGGCCAACTCCATCATTTTTATTCTACTTTCTTGTGCAACATTTATGCTATGCATTTTATATTTTAAAAGTTGTAGACCATGCAATGTAATCTTCAAACAATTGACAAATGTTTTTCCATGTATAACTCTTTGCTTAATCCGCAGTCACTTTATTTTCACTCCCCGATTTTTACTGCCTGAAAAGCAAAGGGATCATTCAAGTGAGTGTGCTGAGCTGGTCTTCTCCAGTGTCAGTCTATTCACGTTCACAAAAGTATTCTTCTGGTGAAAGAGGGTGCACTTCAACAGTATTGTAACAGCAATGTGGAAAAGATGTAATAGAATAAAATGTGAATCACAGCCTCCTATGAAAATAAGTTAATTTTTCTTTTTCTGTATATGTGAGTATGTGGTATTTGTAAGGTTGGGAGTTGAGATTAACATGAGAGAGAAGAGCACTTCACATGAGTAGCACAAGAAGGTCCTATGCAACCTTCTTGTTTGTCAAACATACCTGGAATGATTTTATGAAGTATGATGTTGCTGTATTCATCATTTATTAGACTCTGATGGTCATTTTTTACTTTATAAATTGAAATATGCACTTATCATCATCCAGGACCCTGTCCTTGATGCTTAAGTGTGCAGACATAAAACGATTAAAATATTGGTGAAAGATGAGTTTTTTTTTTCTTAAGACTGAGTCTTGCTCTGTTGCCCAGGCTGGAGTGTAATGGTGTGATCTCACTGCACCCTCCACCTCCCAGGTTCAAGCAATTCTCATGCCTCAGCCTCCTGAGTCACTAGGATTACAGGTGTGTGCCATTATGCTGGGCTTGGTGGATATGTAGTTATGATGCACTGACCCATGGGTTGGGTGCTCTCCAGGGACCCTTCCCTTGCTGTCTACCTTAGGCTAGCTAGCTAATCCCTCTCAGTTCCTCCTCAGGAGTGGAGACCCTAACTGCTGTTAGGGAGAAGAGGCATTGATATTTTTGGCTATTCCTCGCTGGAAAGGGGTGCTGTGTAGAAAACAGCAGCTAGGACTTCTTCCATGGCTAGTTTAATTGTCCTCAGAAGAAACATGTGTTTATGCGTCATTCCATTTGCATTACCACTTAGAGCTTGATAGTTTTTAAGGCAAAAAGAAACAATCTGGTTTAGTAGAGGAGAGGCATTGAAATGAATTAAGGGGGGTAGGAAAAGCCTAAAAATGTTGAGGCTGTTGACACACCCTGATACCTGGTAGCTATAGTTATGTTTGCTAAGATTTGGGTGCATGAGGCTTGGCTTTGGTTAGCTCCTTTGATTTTACTTTCTGATAAAAGAAACCTCTGGGTTATTGGCACCTTATTTATTTCCAGCTGGATTTACAGAATAATTGCTCAGAACTAGCATATTGATTTAGATTTTTACATTACCCTTCCCTTTCTGTTTTCTGAGCTGCAGGCAGAGATTGCTGGTTGGCTTACAGGAATAAGCAGGGTTAGTTTAAAACGTCATCAAAAACTCTAAAACAATCAATGAGACTAGAAGTTCATGAGAAATGTATGGTAAGCTTTGAAACATGATTTTGTTTTTAGATTTTCTTTAGTTAAAAACAACTCACAATAGACTGAATTGTTTGCAAAATAGACTTTATTATTATACTTGGCCTATTTGAACATAGTGCAGCAAGAGTAACTATCTCTCCATAGGCCTTTTTCATAAGCTTTGATGGAACTCTGTTCCAAAAGAAATCTTAGATAGGACTTTCTAAAGCTGGGCTAAGCCATGGATTTGTACCCTTAAATATTTGTGAATTGGGTAAATTCCTGTATTTTTGAGGTCCCAAGATCATAGTGTTTCTGAGTCTGTTAGAAAGAGACATTTTTTTACTCACCACAGGCCAGGAATTCTGTATGAGAACTGTGTAGACTACAGGTATGAGACCAGCTTTCCCAAGAGGCTGTTACTGGCTTTGCAACTTAAACTTGATTTCTTAAAGGAAAACACACCCTTCCAGTTAAAGCCTTGCTAAAGAACTAGCATTTTTCTATTGTGTTTCACTGCATAAGAAAATGGATTTTTCAGCTGGGCACGGTGGCTCATGCCTGTAATCACAGCACTTTGGTAGCCTGAGGTGGGCAGATCAAGAGATCAAGACCACCTTGGCCAACATTGTGAAACCCCATATCTACTAAAAATACAAAAGTTAGCTGGCCGTGGTGGTGCACACCTGTAGTACTGGCTACTCAGGAGGCTGAGGTGGGAGAGTCACTTGAACCTGGGAGGCAGAGGTTGCAGTGAACTAAGATTTTGCCACTGCATGCCAGCCACAGACAGAGCGAGACTATGTTTCAAAAGAAAGAAAAAATAGAAAAAGGATTTTTGTTTCATTGATGCAAACAACTATATTGTTGCAAGTTAAGAATACTTACAACTAGTTGATAGAGGTTCCAAGATGGCTGAATAGGAACAGTTCCAGTCCACAGCTCCCAGCGTGAGCGATGCAGAAGATGGGTGATTTCTACATTTCCAACTGAGCTACCAGGTTCATCTCACTGGGGCTTGTTGGACAGTAGGTGCAGCCCATGGAGTGTGAGCCAATGCAGGGAAGTGTATCACCTCACCTGGGAAGTGCAAGGAGTTGGGGAATTCCCTTTCCTGGCCAAGGGAAACTGTGACAGACTGTACCTGGAAAATTGGGACACTCACACCCTATTACTGTGCTTTTCCAACAGTCTTAGCAAACAGCACACCAGAAGATTATATCCCATGCCTGGCTTGCAGGGTCCCACAACCACAGAGACTTGCTCACTGCTAGCACAGCAGTCTGAGATAAAACTGCAAGGTGGCAGTGAGGCTGGGGGAGGGGAATGTGCCATTTCTGAGGTTTGAGTAAGTAAACAAAGTGGCTGGGAAGCTCGAACTGGGTGGAGCCCACCGCAGCTCAAGGAGGCCTGCCTGCCTCTGTAGACTACACCTCTGGGGGCAGAGCATAGCTGAATAAAAGGCAGCAGAAACTTCTGCAGACTGAAACGTTCCTATTGATAGCTTTGAAGAGAGTAGTGGTTCTCCCAACACAGAGTTTGAGATCTGAGAATGGACAGACTGCCTCCTCAAGTGGGTCCCTGACCCCCGAGTAGCCTAACTGGGAGAAACCTCCCAGTAGTGGCTGACTGACACCTCATACAGCTGGGTGGCCCTCTGAGATGAAGCTTCCAGAGGAAGGATCAGGCAGCAATATTTGCCATTCTGCAATATTTGCTGTTCTGCAGCCTCCGCTGGTGATACCCAGGCAAACAGGGTCTGGAGTGGAACTCGAGCAAACTGCAACAGACCTGCAGCTGAGGGTCCTGACTGTTAGAAGGAAAATTAACAAACAGAAAGGACATCCACACTAAAACCCCATCTGTACATCACCATCATCAAAGACCAAAGGTAGATAAAACCACAAAGATGGGGAGAAACCAGAGCAGAAAAGCTGAAAATTCTAAAAATCAGAGCACCTCTTCTCCTCCAAAGGAACACAGCTCCTCATCAGCAATGGAAAAAAGGTGGATGGAAAATGACTTAGATGAGTTGAGAGAAGGCTTCAGATGATCAATAATAACAGCCTTATCCAAGCTAAAGGAGGATGTTCAAACCCATCGCAAAGAAGCTAAAAACCTTGAAAAAAGATTAGAAGAGAGCTAACTAGAGTAAACAGCATAGAGAAGACCTTAAATGACCTGATGGAGCTGAAAACCATGGCACAAGAACTACGTGATGCATGCACAAGCTTCAGGAGCCGATTTGATCAAGTGGAAGAAAGGGTATCAGTGATTGAAGATCAAATAAATGAAATGAAGTGAGAAGAGAAGTTTAGAGATACAAGAGTAAAAAGAAATGAACAAAGCCTCCAAGAAATACGAGACTACGTGAAAAGACTTAATCTATGTCTGATTGGTGTACCTGAAAATGACGGGGAGAATGGAACCAAGTTGCAAAACACTCTTCAAGATATTATCCAGGAGAACTTCCCCAACCTAGCAAGGCAGGCCAAAATTCAAATTCAGGAAACACAGAGAACACCACAAAGATACTCCTTGAGAAGAGTAACTCCAAGACAATTAATTGTCAGGTTCGCCAAAGTTGAAATGAAGGAAAAAATGTTAAGGGCAGCCAGAGAGAAAGATCGGGTTACCCACAAAGGGAAACCCATCAGACTAACAGTGGATCTCTCAACAGAAACTCTACAAGCCAGAAGAGAGTGGGGGCCAATATTCAACATTCTTAAAGAAAAGAATTTTCAACCAGAATTTCATATCCAGCAAAATTAAGCTGCATAAGTGAAGGAGAAATAAAATCCTTTACAGACAAGCAAATGCTGAGAGATTTTGTTACTACCAGGCCTGCCTTACAAGAGCTCCTGAAAGAAGCACTAAATATGGAAAGGAAAAACTGGTACCAGCCACTGCAAAAACATGCCAAATTCCAAAGACCATCGATGCTAGGAAGAAACAGCATCAACTAATGAGCAAAATAACCGGCTAACATAATGACAGGATCAAATTCACACATAACAATATTAACCTTAAATGTAAATGGGTTAAATGCTCCAATTAAAAGACACAGACTGGGAAATTGGATAAAGAGTCAAGACCCATCAGTGTGCTGCATTCAGGAGACCCATCTCACATCCAGAGACACACATAGGCTCAAAATAAAGGGATGGAGGAAGATCTACCAAGCAAATGAGAGGAAAAAAAAGAGCAGGGGTTGCAATCCTAGTCTCTAATAAAACAGACTTTAAACCAGCAAAGATCAAAAGAGACAAAGAAGACCATTACATAACGGTAAAGGGATCAATTAAACAAGAAGAGCTAACTATCCTAAATATATATGCACCCAATACAGGAGCACCCGGATTCATAAAGCAAGTCACCAGAGACTGACAAAGAGACTTAGACTCCCACACAATAATAATGGAAGACTTTAACACCCCACTCTTACCATTAAACAGATCAATGAGACAGAAAGTTAACAAGGATATCCAGGAGTTGAACTCAGCTCTGCACCAAGCAGATCTAATAGACATCTACAGAATTCTCCACCCCAAATCAAGAGAATATAGATTCTTCTCAGCACCACATCATACTTATTCCAAAATTGACCACACAGTTGGAAGTAAAGCACTCCTCAGCAAATGTAAAAGAACAGAAATTATAACAAACTGTCTCTTAGACCACAGTGCAATCAAATAAGAACTCAGGATTAAGAAACTCACTCAAAACTGCACAACTACATGGAAACTGAACAACCTGCTCCTGAATGACTACTGGGTAAATAATGAAATGAAGGCAGAAATAAAGATGTTCTTTGAAACCAGTGAGAACAAAGACACAACATAACAGAATCTCTGGGACACATTTAAAGCAGTGGGTAGAGGGAAATTTATGGCATTAAATGCCCATAAGAGAAAGCAGGAAAGATCTAAAATTGACACCCTAACATCACAATTAAAAGAACTAGAGAAGCAAGAGCAAACACATTCAAAAGCTAGCAGAAGGCAAGAAATAACTAAGATCAGAGCAGAACTGAAGGAGATAGAGACACAAAAAACCCTCCAAAAAATCAATGAATCCAGGAGCTGGTTTTTTAAAAAGATCAACAAAATTGATAGATGGCTAGCAAGACTAATAAAGAGGAAAAGAGAGAAGAATCAAATCGACACAATAAAAAATGATAAAGGAGATATCACCACCAATCTCACAGAAATACAAACTACCATCAGAAAATACTATAAACAGCTCTACTCAAATAAACTAGAAAATCTAGAAGAAATGGATAAATTCCTGGACACATGCACCCTCCCAAGACTAAACCAGGAAGAAATTGAATCCCTGAATAGACCAATAACAGGCTCTTAAATTGAGGCAATAATTGATAGCATACCAATAAAAAAAAGTCCAGGACCAGACGGATTCACAGCTGAATTCTACCAGAGGTACAAAGAGGAGCTGGTACCATTCCTCCTGAAAATATTCCAATCAATAGAAAAAGACAGAATCCTCCCTAGCTCATTTTGTGAGGCCAGCATCATCCTGATACCAAAGTCTGGCAGAAACACAACAAAAAAAGAGAATTTTAGACCAATATCCCTGATGAACACTGATGCAAAAATCCTCAATAAAATACTGGCAAACCGCATCCAGCAGCACATTAAAAAGCTTATCCACCACGATCAAGTTGGCTTCACCCCTGGGATGCAAGGGTGGTTCAACATACACAAATCATAAACTTAATCCATCATATAAACAGAACCAAATACAAAAACCATATGATTATCTCAATAGATGCAGAAAAGACCTTTGACAAAAATTCAACAACCCTTCATTCTAAAAACTCTCAATCAACTAGGTATTGATGGGACGTATCTCAAAATAATAAGAGCTATTTATGACAAACCCACAGCCAATATCATACTGAATGGGCAAAAACTGGAAGCATTCCTTTTGAAAACTGGCACAAGACAAGGATGCCCTCTCTCACCACTCCTATTCAACTTAGTGTTGGAAGTTCTGGCCAGGGCAATCAGGAGAGAAAGAAAGGGTATTCAATTAGGAAAAGAGGAAGTCAAATTGTCCCTGTTTGCAGAAGACATGATTGTATATTTAGAAAACTTCATCATCTCAGCCCCACATCTCCTTAAGCTGATAAGCAACCTCAGCAAACTCTCAGGATACAAAATTTTTCAGTGTGCAAAAATCACAAACATTCCTATACACAAATAACAGACAAACAGAGAGCCAAATCATAAGTGAACTCCCATTCACAATTGCTACAAAGAGAATAAAATACCTAGGAATACATCTTCCAAGGAATGTGAAGGACCTCTTCAAGGAGAACTATAAGCCACTGCTCAATGAAATAAAAGAGGACACAAACAAATGGAAGTACATTCCATGCTCATGGATAGGAAGAATCAATATTGTGAAAATGGCCATACTGCCCAAGGTAATTTATAGATTCAATGTCATCCCCATCAAGCTACCTCTGACTTTCTTCACAGAATTGGAAAAAAAAACTACTTTAAAGTTCATATGGAACGAAAAAAGAGCCCACATTGCCAAGACAATCCCAAGCCAAGAGAACAAAGCTGGAGGCATCACACTACCTGATTTCAAACTGTACTACAAGGCTACAGTAACCAAAACAGCATGATACTAGTATGAAAACAGAGATATAGACCAATGGAACAGAACAGAGCCTCAGAAATAACACCACACATCTACCACCACCTGATCTTTGACAAACCTGACAAAAATAAGAAATGGGGAAAGGATTCCCTATTTAATAAATGGTGCTGGGAAAACTGGCTAGCCATATGTAGAAAGCTGAAACTGGATCCCTTCCTTACACTTTATACAAAAATTAATTCAAGGTGGATTAAAGACTTAAGTGTTAGACCTAAAACCATAAAAACCCTAGAAGAAAACCTAGGCAATACCACTCAGGACATAGGAATGGGCAAGGACTTCATGACTAAAACACCGAAAGCAATGGCAACAAAAGCCAAAATTGACAAGTGAGATCTAATTAAACTAAAGAGCTTCTGCACAGCAAAAGAAACTACCATCAGAGTGAACAGGCAACCTACAGAATGGGAGAAAAGTTTTAAAATCTACCCATCTGACAAAGGGCTAATATCTAGAATCTACAAAGAACTTAAACAAATTTACAAGAAAAAATCAAACAACCCCATCAAAAAGTGAGCAAAGGATATGAACAGACACTTCTCAAAAGAAGACATTTACACAGCCAACAGACACATGAAAAAATGCTCATCATCACTGGCCATCAGAGAAATGCAAGCCAAACCACAAAGAGATACCATCTCATACCAGTTAGAATGGTGATCATTAAAAAGTCAGGAAACAACAGACGCTGGAGAGGATGTGGAGAAATAGAAATGCTTTTACACTGTTGGTGGGACTGTAAACTAGTTCATCCTTTGTGGAAGACAGTGTGGTGATTCTTCAAAGATCTAGAACTAGAAATACCATTTGACCCAGCAATCCCATTACTGGGTATATACCCAAAAAATTATAAATCATGCTGCTATAAAGACACATGCTATAAAGACACATGCAAATGTATGTTTATTGTGCTGCTATTCACAATAGCAAAGACTTGGAACCAACCCAAATGCCCATCAATGATAGACTGGATTAAGAAAATGTGGCACATATACACCATGGAATACTATGCAGCCAAAAAAGAGGATGAGTTCATGTCCTTTGTAGGGAAATGGATGAAGCTGGGAACCATCATTCTGAGCAAACTATCCCAAGGACAGAAAACCAAACACCGCATGTTTTCACTCATAGGTGGGAATTGAACAATGACAACACTTGGACACAGGAAGGGGAATATCACACACTGTGGCCTGTCGTGGGGTAAGGGTAGGGGGAAGGGATAGCATTAGGAGATATGCCTAATGTTAAATGACGAGTTAATGGGTGCAGCACAACAACATGGCCCATGTATACATATGTAACAAAACTGCATGTTGTGCACATGTACCCTAGAACTTAAAGTGTAATTTAAAAAATTTAAAAAAAGAATACTTATAAATAGTTTTTTATTTTTAGCAGAACCAGGCAAAAAGAAACAGACAAGGTCCAAATTATGTTTAAGCAGTATACCTTGCTCAGTGGTTTAAAACTTTTAAGAAAGTTTTTCTGACTCTGAAAAACAAAATAAGAATTAGCAATGCTTTAAGCAAAAGTTAAAAGCATTGCTTTAGTTTTCCATTAGCTAAATCCATTCTATTAACTTTGTTCTGCTTGATATCCATAAACATTTTAGCTTTTTATGAGTTCTGTACTTTTATCTGTTATCAGAAATCTGCATTTGAGAGCACCTGTTAAAGTCCCACAGCTGATTATAAACCATTTTTAAGAGGATTAAAACAAGAAAATTGTCTGCCAATGACAAAATATCCAGGGTTACAGTTAGAAACACGACTGACAAAAAAATTTGGTTATCTTTGTAGTTTACAATAACCCAACATAACAACCTTAATTTTGATTGGTAGCACATATTTAGACATTAGAACCTTAGACACCCCATATAGTTTTGGAACATATGTCAATATTATATACTTAAATATAAACTGAAAAAAAAGACATCATTTTGACAATCCCATGTACCTAAACATGTTCAATAATTCTGTTTGCCTTTCTTTTGAATGCTTTAGGGGCTCTTTGTAGCACCAAAAAGCCATGCATCAGGAAAGACAACCTTTGAGACTGAAGTTTGATTTTGGGGACCTTCTTAAATATGTTAGAGGTCTAAAACAGTTAATCTTAAGGAATAGAATTTTAGATTACCATAAGCTATTTGTTTTGCCAACATGAAGAATTAAAAATTTGAAAAAGCAAAAATCTTTTATTGGCCCTTACTACTACATAAAAATCCTGTTAAAAAGAAAAAGCCAAATTTTCCCCTTGCATTAGTTTACTATTAATGTTAACCCCAATTTTAATGAAACCTTATAGATAATTCTATTTAATCTTAACCAGTTTAAACATGAAGTGAGATTTTTACAAATTTTTTTTATTATTATACTTTAAGTTCTAGGGTACTTGTGCACAGTATGCAGGTTTGATACATGTGCCATGTTGGTTTGCTGCACCCATCAACTTGTCATTTACATTAGGTATATCTCCTCATGCTATCCCTCCCCTTGGCACCCACCCCACGACAGGCCCCAGTGTGTGATGTTCTCCACACTGTGTCCAAGTGTTGTCATTGTTCAATTCCCACCTATGAGTGAAAACATATGATGCTTGGTTTTCTGTCTTTGTGATAGATTGCTGAGAATTATGGTTTCCAGCTTCATCTATGTCCCTGCAAAGGACGTGAACTCATACTTTTTTATGGCTGCATAGTATTCCATGGTGTATATGTGCCACATTTTCTCAATCCAGTTTATCATTGATGGACATTTGGGTTGAGTACAGGTCTTTTCTATTGTGAGTAGTGCTGCAATAAACATACGTGTGCATGTGTCTTTATAGCAGCATGATTTATAATTTTTTGGGTATATATCCAGTAATGGGATTGCTGGGTCAAATGGTATTTCTAGTTCTAGATCCTTGAGGAATCGCTGCACTGTCTTCCACAATGGTTGAATTAATTTACACTCCCACCAACAGTGTAAAAGTGTTCCTATTTCTCCACATTCTCTCCAGAATCTTGTTTCCTGACTTTTTTGATCACCATTCTAATTGGCATAAGATGGTATCTCACTGTGGTTTTGATTTCCATTGCTATGATGACAAGTGATGAGGAGCATTTTTTCATGTGCTTGCTGGCTGCATAAATGTCTTCTTTTGAGAAGTGTCTGTCATATCCTTTGCCCACTTTTTGATGGGGTTGTTTGTTTTTTTCTTGTAAATTTGTTTGATTTCTTTGTAGATTCTAGATATTAGCCCTTTGTCAGATGGGTAGATTTCAAAATTTTTCTCTCATTCTTTAGGTTGCCTTTTCACTCTGATGGTATTTTCTTTTGCTGTGCAGAAGCTCTTTAGTTTAGTTAGATCTTATTTGTCGATTTTGGCTTTTGTTGCCATTGCTTTTAGTGTTTTAGTCATGAAGTCCTTGCCCATGCCTATGTCCTGAGTGGTATTGTCTAGGTTTTCTTCTAGGGTTTTTATGGTTTTAGGTCTAACATTTAAATCTTTAAATCATCTTGAATTAATTTTTGTATAAGGTGTAAGGAAGGGATCCAGTTTCAGCTTTCTACATATGGCTAGCCAGTTTTCCCAGCACCATTTATTAAATAGGGAATCCTTTCTTCATTTCTTGTTTTTGTCAGGTCTGTCAAATATCAGATGATTGTAGATGTGTGGTGTTATTTCTGAGGCCACTGTTCTGTTCCATTGGTCTATATCTCTGTTTTGGTATGAGTACCATGCTGTTTTGGTTATTGTAGCCTTGTAGTATAGTCTGAAGTCAGGTAGTGTGATGCCTTCAGCTTTGTTCTTTTTGGTTAGGATTGTCTTGGCAATGAGGGCTCTTTTTTGGTTCCATATGAACTTTAAAGTAGTTTTTTTCCAATTCTGTGAAGAAAGTCAGAGGTAGCTTGATGGGGATGCCATTGAATCTATAAATTACCTTGGGCAGTATGGCCATTTTCACAATATTGATTCTTCCCATCCAGGAGCATGGAATGTACTTCCATTTGTTTGTGTCCTCTTTTATTTCATTGAGCAGTGGTTTGTAGCTCTCCTTGAAGAGGTCCTTCACATTCCTTGGAATTTGTATTCCTAGGTATTTTATTCTCTTTGCAGCAATTGTGAATGGGAGTTCACTCATGATTTGGCTCTCTGTTTGTCTGTTATTTGTGTATAGGAATGCTTGTGATTTTTTACATTGAAAAATTTTGTATCCTGAGACTTTGCTGAAGTTGCTTATCACCTTAAGGAGACATGGGGCTGAGATGATGAGGTTTTCTAAATATACAATCATGTCATCTGCAAACAGGGACAATTTGACTTCCTGTTTTCCTAATTGAATACGCCTTATTTCTTTCTCTTGCCTGATTGCCCAGAACTTTCAACACTAAGATGAATAGGAATGGTGAGAGAGGACATCCCTGTCCTGTGCCAGTTTTCAAAGGGAATGCTTCCAGTTTTTGCCCATTCAGTATGATATTGGCTGTGGTTCTGTCATAAACAGCTCTTATTATTTTGAGAAACATTCCTTGAATACCTAGGTGATTGAGAGTTTTTGCATGAAGGGCTGTTGAATTTTGTCAAAGGCCTTTTCTGCATCTATTGAGACAATCATGTGGTTTTTGTCGTTGGTTCTGTTTATATGATGGATGACGTTTATTGATTTGCATATGTTGAACCAGCCTTGCATTCCAGGGATGAAGCTAACTTGATTGTCAAGGATAAACATTTTGATTTGCTGCTGGATTTGGTTTGCCAGTATTTTATTGAGGAATTTTGCATCAATGTTCATCAGGGATATTGGTCTAAAATTCTCTTTTGTTGTGTTTCTGCCAAGCTTTGGTATCGGGATGATGCTGGCCTCATAAAATGAGTTAGGGAGGATTCTGTCTTTTTTTATTGATTGGAATAGTATCAGAAGAAATGTTACCACCTCCTCTTTGTACCTCTGGTAGAATTCAGCTGTGAATCCATCTGGTCCTGGACTTTTTTTGTTGGTAGCCTATTAATTATTTCCTCAATTTCAGAACCTGTTATTGGTCTATTCAGAGATTCAACTTATTCCTGGTTTAGTCTTGGGAGGGTTTATGTGTCCAGGAATTTATCCATTTCTTCTAGATTTTCTAGTTTATTTGCATAGAGGTGTTTATAATATTCTCTGATGGTAGTTTGTATGTCTGTGGGATAAGTGGTGATATCCCCGTTATCATTTTTTATTGCATCTATTTGATTCTTCCCTCTTCTTCTTTATTAGTCTTGCTAATAGTCTATCAATTTTGTTGATCTTTTCAAAAAACCACCTCCTGGATTCAATGATTTTTTGAAGGGTTTTTTGCATCTCTATCTCCTTCAGTTCTGCTCTGATCTTAGTTATTTCTTGTCTTCTGTTAGCTTTTGAATGTGTTTGCTCTTGCCTCTCTATTTCTTTTAATTGTGATGTTAGGGTGTCAATTTTAGATCTTTCCTGCTTTCTCTTGTGGGCATTTAGTGCTATACATTTCCCTCTACCCACTGCTTTAAATGTGTCCCAGAGATTCTGTTATGTTGTGTCTTTGTTCTCATTGGTTTCAAAGAACATCTTTATTTCTGCCTTCATTTCATTATTTACCTAGTGGTCATTCAGGAGCAGGTTGTTCAGTTTCCATGTAGTTGTGCAGTTTTGAGTGAGTTTCTTAATCCTGAGTTCTTATTTGATTGCACTGTGGTCTAAGAGACAGTTTACTGTGATTTCTGTTCTTTTACATTTGTTGAGGAGTGCTTTACTTCCAATTATGTTGTCAATTTTAGAATAAGTGTGATGTTGTGCTCAGAGGAATGTATATTTTATTGACTTGGTGTTGAGAGTTTTGTAGATGTCTATTAGGTCAGCTTGGTGCAGAGCTGAGTTCAACTCTTGGATATCGTTGTTAACCTTCTGTCTCGTTCATCTGTCTGATGTTGACCATGGGGTGTTAAAGTCTCCCATTATTATTGTGTGGGAGTCTAAGTCTCTTTGTAGGTCTCTGGTGACTTGCTTTATGAATCCGGGTGCTCCTGTATTGGGTGCATATATATTTAGGATAGTTAACCTTCTTGTTGCATTGATCCCTTTACCATTGTGTAATGGCCTTCTTTGTCTTTTTTGATCTTTGCTGGTTTAAAGTCTGTTTTATCAGAGACTAGGATTGCAACCCCTGCTTTTTTTTGTTTTCCATTTGCTTGGTAGATCTTCCTCCATCCCTTTATTTTGAGCCTATGTGTGTCTCTGGATGTGAGATCGGTCTTCTGAATGCAGCACACTGATGGGTCTTGACTCTTTATCCAATTTGCTGGTCTGTGTCTTTTAATTGGTCATTTAGCCCTTTTACATTTAAGGTTAATATTGTTATGTGTGAATTTGATCCTGTAATTATGAAGTTAGCTGGTTATTTTGCCTGCTAATTGACGGTTTCTTCATAGCATCGATGGTCTTTGCAATTTGACATGTTTTTTGCAGTGGCTGGTACAGGTTGTTTCTTTCCATTTTTAGTACTTCCTTCAGGAGCTCTTGTAAGCAGGCCTGGTCGTGACAAAATCTCTCAGTATTTCCTTGTCTGTAAAGGATTTTATTTCTCCTTCACTTATGAAGCTTAGTTTTGCTGGATATGAAATTCTGGGTTGAAAATTCTTTTCTTTAAGATTGTTGAATATTGGCCCCCACTCTCTTCTGGCTTGCAGGATTTCTGCTGAGACATCTGCTGCTAGTCTGATGGGCTTCCCTTTGTGGGTAAGCTGACCTTTCTCTCTGGCTACCCTTAACATTTTTCCTTCATTTCAACCATGGTGAATCTGAAAATTATTTGTCTTGGGGTTGTTCTTCTCAAGGAGTATCTTTGTGGTGTTCTCTTGTATTTCCTGAATTTGAATGTTGGCCCAGTTTGCTAGGTTGGGGAAATTCTCCTGGATAATATCCTGAAGAGTGTTTTCCAACTTGGTTCCATTCTCCCCATCACTTTCAGGTACACCTATCAAACATAGATTTGGTCTTTTCACATAGTCCCATATTTCTTGGAGGCTTTGTTCATTTCTTTCTACTCCTTTTTCTCTAACCTTGTCTTCTCACCTTATGTCATTATTTTGATCTTCAATCACTGATACCCTTTCTTCCACTTGATTGAATCAGCTATTGAAGCTTGTGCATGCATCACTAAGTTCTCGTGCCATGGTTTTCAGCTCCATCAGGTCATTTAAGGTCTTCTCTTCACTGTTTATTCTAGTTAGCCATTCGTCTACCCTTTCTTTAAGGTTTTTAGCTTCCTTGTGATGAGTTTGTACATGCTCCTTTAGCTCAGAGAAGTTTGTTATTACCGACCTTCTGAAGCCTACTTCTGTCAACTCTTCAAAGCCATTCTCCATCCAGCTTTGTTCCATTGCTGGTGAGGAGCTGTGATCCTTTGGACGAGAAGAGGTGCCCTGGTTTTTAGAATTTTCAGCTTTTCTGCTCTGGTTTCTCCCCACCTTTGTGGTTTTATCTACATTTGGTCTTTGAAGTTGGTGACCTACAGATGGGGTTTTGGTGTATATGTCCTTTTTGTTGATGTTGCTTCTATTCCTTTCTGTTTGCTGGTTTTCTTTCTGACAGTCAGGTTTCTCAGCTGCAGGTCTGTTGGAATTTGCTGGAGGTCCACTCCACAACCTGTTTGCCTGGGTGTCACCAGTGGAGGCTGCAGAATGGCAATTATTGCAGAACAGCAAATATTGCTGCCTGATCCTTCCTCTGGAAGCTTTGTCCCAGAAGGGCACCCACCTATATGAGGTGTCTGTCGGCCCTTACTGGGGGGTGTCTCCCAGTTAGGCTACATAGGGGTCATGGATTGACTTCAGGTGGCAGTCTGTCCATTCTTAGAGCTCAAACCCCATGCTGGGGGAACCACTGCTCTCTTCAGAGCTGTCAGACAGGAACTTTTAAGTCTGCAGAAGCTGTCTGCTGCCTTTTGTTCAGATATGCCCTGCCCACAAAGTTGGAGTCTATAGAGGCAGTAGGCCTTGCTGAGCTGCAGTGGGCTCCACCCAGTTCAAGCTTCCCAGCTACTTTGTTTAGCTACTCAAGCCTCAGCAGAGGCAGAAACCCTTCCCCCAACCAGACTGCTGTGTCACCTTTGACCTCAGACTGCTGTGCTAGCAGTGAGCAAGACTCTGTGACTGCAGGACCTGCTGAGCCAGGCACAGGAGAGAATATTCTTCTCTGCTGGTTGCTGCAACCTTGGGAAAAGTGCAGTATTTGGGTGGGAGTGTCTCATTTTTCCAAGTACAGTCTGTCCCAGCTTCCCCTGGCTAGGAAAGGGAAATTCCCCAACCCCTTGTTCTTCCCAGGTGAGGTGATGTCCTGCCCTGCTTTGGCTTGCCCCCTGTGGGCTGCACCCTCTGTCCAACCAGTCCAAATGAGATCAGCCAGGTACCTCAGTTGGAAATGCAGAAATCACCCATCTTCTTCCTTGATCACGTTGGGATCTGCAGACCAGATCTCTTCCTATTTGCCCATCTTGGAATGGATCTTTGATGTTTACAAATCTTTTATAATCTTTTAGAAATTTTGATACAGAGCAGATTAGCATCTTAAGAAAGTCTTGTTGTGCTTTCATTTAAATGCTTAATTTAAAGGAACACCATATGTTATTCCTTTGAATTTAGTTCATATATTTACAGTTTTCTTTTGCAAAATTAATTTTTACAGTATTTTAAAAATTTGCTTAAAACTTTCACTTTATTTAATTTAAGACAATCTTTCACTCCTGAGAAAAATGTAGATTTTTATGCCTTCTTATAATTTTTTATTAAAAAATTTTACTGATTTTACACACATTTCATGCAAATCCATTTTTAATAGTCTCAATTACATGTTACAATGGTAACTTTTTGTAATTTTAACTTTAATGTAAAACCTGGTAAGTTGTTTTAATTATGTGCTAGGAGCAGATAAAGTCTGACTTCTTCCAGTATAGTTAGGGGCATGGTTACTTTTATATGTCACCAGGCCTTACTAATTGTGAAGCTGGCAGGTTGACAGTACTTAAAGGCCAAAGAAGCAGTTTACAACATTAAAACATTTAACAAACCTAGTATTTGACCTGCATAATTTAGACCACCTGTTTACATTTTAAGACGTTTGTATTTTACAAGAATGTTTTTATTTCTTAAATATTAAAGTTACATGAACCAAGAGGCACTACAGCCTTAATTTTGTCTTAATTTTTTTTGAAGTGCTTATTTGCACACCAATTAATTAGAGGTTTTTTATAGACTTCACACAAAACACGTATATAACCATCTAAACAAACAGAAGAAAATTCAGTAACTATAAGATTTTTTGTTTGCCAATTTTCTAATTGGATTATTGGTCTCTATTTGAGGCCATTTAAGAACAGGGTTAGGGGCCAGGCATGGTGGCTCACGCCTGTAATCCCAGCACTTTGTGAGGCCGAGGTGGGTGGATCACCTGCGGTCAGGAGTTTGAGACCAGCCTGGCCAACATGGTGAAAACACATCTCTACTAAAAATAAAAAAATTTAGCTGGGCATGGTGGCAGGTGCCTGCAATCACAGCTACTCACTAGGCTGAGGCAGGATAATTGCTTGAACCCAGGAGGTGGAGGTTGTAGTGAGACAAGATTGCACTGTTGCACTCTGGCCTAGGTGACAGAGTGAGACTCTGTCCCCCATAAAAAAAAAAAGGACAGGGCTAGGAATACAGTTTCCAGGGCCTAACAAATAAGCATAGCTAGAAGAAAAAGAGATTTTGAGAGGGACTTATTTACTTTTAATTCTAGGAGTTTCATTAAAAAAAGCAGAGATTTCTTTTAAAATGTAATTTGTGGTGGCTTTTTTGTTTTCCTGAGGAGTCTTAGGCCACCAGAGGTTATTTTAGGGCCTTCTATGCTTGCATCAACAGTGACAAGAAAGAGTGGATAAAAGTAATTCAGTTAAGTGAGATAAAACCCTCTTCCAGGAAAACAAGTTTTATAAAGATAAAAATAGAAAGGCTTTTTGAATATACTTATAGCTTGGATATTCACTTTTCATTAAGTTGAGTACATTTTAAAAATGTTTATTTAATTAATTAAAACTTTACAAAGAATATAAACAGTGATTCTTCTTATTTCTTTTACCAGTTTACACCACTAGCTGTTTACAATCCCGTTTAGGCTCTTTAGTTTCCTCTGGGAGAAAGTGGCTGGGTTCAGGCAAAGGCAAATTTTTAACTGGACTGCAGATCACTTTAGCAGCAAAGCTTGATATTTGAGGAGGTGATTATTAGCCAGAGGTTTGCATTAGAGGACAGCAGTCCTATGTGGGAATGCAGACAGTTAAGTTATTTCCCATTGTTAACTTCATGGCATTTCGTACCAGCAAGCCACCACCAAAACTGGTAAGAGGCAAGCTGGCCATCCTCTAGCCATCAAGTCAAGTTTCTTGCTTAGGTAACCCACTGGTTGTTGACCTGGACCTTGAGCCTTAGTTAAAACTCCCAGGGTCATTAACTTCCTTTTTGATACATAGAGATTAAATGCTTTCCTTATGGGAAGATTAAGGGTTGGTGCTTTAAGTAAGGCTGCCTTTAGTTGGTTAAAGGCTTCTTAGTTTTAGATTCCCAAGTTACCAAGTGAGTCTTTAGGTGCTTGAGTTTTTGTAAGGTGGTATAAAAGATTAACTATTTCACCATTCCCAAATACCCAGAATTTGCAAAAATCCAGTAATGTCTAAGATCCCTCCCAACTGTTTAAGAGTTTTTGGAAAGGAAAAGGAGAAAATAAGTTTAATTCTTTCTTTACCTGGTGTTCTTGTACCTTCTGACTAGACCTATCTACTTTACTGCAGTTTGACAGAGCTGAGCTTTAAATTTTGAGACCCTATATTTCCTTTCAGCTAATAAATTGAGGAAAGCCTTAGTGCCTTCCTGAGACCTCTTCAGTTGAGGCAGAGAGAACAGTGTTATTTAAATACTGCAAAGTTTCAACTTGAGGATGACAAAACCTAGAAAGGTGTTTGAACAGGGCCTGTTTTAGCAGCTTCCTTCTGATATTAGAGACTGCCTAAGTAATAAACCTTTTTTCCTGAATCACAACACAGGGAGGTTTGTTTTACTAAAGTTTTTCTCAGCCTTTTCAAAAAGGCCATGGGATTTTTATCTGGTTTCTGATTTAACAAGGAGAGGTTAGAGTAATTAATATGCTTGATTGTGGTTCTTTGCAAACTTTCTAATATGCACATCAGAAAGTGTTTTCTTTTCCACTTCTCTATAAGATCACAAGGGCTCCCATTAGAATATTTAAGGGGCATTGTTTTTATTCTTATTGGGAATGCGGATTATGTCTCTTTTTTTTCCCTTTTGACTGGGTTTCTTTTCTGACTGGCTCTAGGAAACCTACTGTTTGTTTTTGAGTTTTTTTTTTTTTTTTTTTTTTTTTTTTTTTTTTTTTTTTTTTTTTTGCTGCCTGTAAGGCTGCCTGTTTCTTAACAGTTAGGGTTTGGCTTAAAAGCAGCATAGCATCTCTCCATGTAACATTAAACACTTGGGTTAAATTTTGGAAAGCCTCTATATATGAGTCAGTGTCATTAGAGAACTTGCCTGGGGTTCACTTTATTTTCTTAAGGTCCTGCAACTAGAAGGGAACTTGAATACTAGTAACACCATGTCTACTGGGCATTTTCTGTAGGGGGTAACAGCAATGTTGTGGGTTTCTTCAGTGGCACAACCAGAGGAGCTGATGATATATGGGTATTGGGGGCCCAAAATATGTGAGGCTGCTGGGGCACCTGGAAGTTACATTTGAGTGTTCCCCAAGGGTTTGTATCTCAACTTTTGGTAATTATATGTTGTAGACTTGTCTGATATGGCTGCCAAGAAGGCAGATTTAATTTTACAATGCTTACAAAGATCTGGGTTGTCTCACAGGGCAAAGAAAGATCTATTTGTTGGACAGTGTTGAAATTAATGCTTCCCTTAGAAAGCCAGGCCTACTGTCTCTAAGATGGCCATGGGTTTATGCAATAGAATATAAGCCACTTTTTCTTTAGAATTTCAGGGTTAAAGAAGTTCCAGTGTTTCAGAATGCACTAGAGGGGAATGCAGACTGTCGATGGTTTGTTACCTATCTAGAGAAAGAGGGGAGACAAGGCGTTCCTCAGTCCCCTTTCTCTTTTCAGTGTGGCCTAGGGTGGAAGGAAAGAGAAAAAGGACATACCACTTCTCAACCTTCCTTTTTTTCCTCTGTGTCCCAGCAACCATCATAGATGTTACCCATGGATGGAAGCATGACCTTTACCCATGGTTCCGGAGGAGTTCATAGGCAGGACAGATTGTGCTCACCTTCTCAAGACCCTAGCTTTCCATCCTGCTGGTTTTCTAGACCCACTCAGCGCAAAAGGCTCTCAAGGTACTCCAGTGGCTGGGGAGAGATTATGCAGTAGTTGGATTTAGGCAAGATACTTTTTTAGAGGGAATGCCCTAATGCCATTTTTGGCTTCCCTTACTACGGCCCCAGGAAAACATCAGAATCCCAGAGAATGGGACGAGTTTACTTTCAAACATAAAATTCCTTTCTGTTTAAATTTCAATGTAGTTTGATGAAGAACAGGTGCCTTAAAAATGTGTAAAAATTGAAGATTTGTTTTGTTAGAAAGCCTTTCTTCTGGCTGTTGAAAGCTGAGTTTTTCTGTTTACAAATAGGGCATGAGGACTTATCACTGATAAAGGGATGTAAAAGGGAAAATAATTGGGGAACTGTAAGTTTTGGACAGAGTGTTGGCAAGTCTTCACATGGAGAACAATCCCATTCCACTAGGGGTGCTGTAAAATTAGAAATGCTAGGTAAAAACTCCAACTTTATATTTTTAGGCAAAAGTTAGAAAGAGGTTTGGGGTTTGATAGGCTGTTCCTATAGCATATGCCCCAGAACAAAAAAAATGAACTTGTCTCATATAGGAACTGTTTAGATACATTGGACAGTGCTCAGCTTTCACATGGAGGGAAAAAACGAAATGCAAAGGAGGGTATTAACTCAGAGTGAAATATTCTCTCATACAGTGCCATGAATGTTTATTACTGGGGGAGAGAAAGACCTTTACTAAGTAAAAATTTAGAGAGATTTTGAATTCACTCTGTTGCTAGGAAATTATAAAACAACACCTTTGAGTTACATATTTGATTACCAAGACACTGACTGACTTTACTCAGCACGATTATATCCATAGGCTGTAAAAACATTCACAACTTTGCATACAAAGAACGGATAGGAGAAATGATAGCCATGAAAAAAAAAAAAAGAACAAGAACAAGAGAAATGAAATGAAATGAAATGAAATAAAAAAAGACTGGAAGTTCTTGTGCCAACACCCTCATTGGCTGTTGAGGACTGGAGTTAGTCCAAGGGCTTTTAGGTAACATTGAGGTATAGACTCAGCCAGGAACCTTCAGTAGCCCTAGGACCTCCTTTCAGTTCCACACAATGAGTAGGCCCTTCATGAAAGAAAACTGGATTAGAACAGTTTTCAAGTTTGTTTTTGAAAGAAAAAAACTTAGGACAAGAATTTAATATTTTATTTAATAATTTGAACTTAGAAATGACCAACCTATCTCATTTTTTTGTTTTTGTTCCACATGTCCTGTTATTGAGTCCCTCTCATTCCACATTTAAGCCTTAATCAGGCTTCAGTTCAGAAGAAACATAGAAATGGGTTGCCATATATGTTCAGTTAAGAATCAGGATCCTCTTGTGTATAAAAACTTTTACATTTATCATTCATAGTACAAAGCAGTATTTTTAAGATGTGGACATGTTCATTCAAATTAAATATAATGATTTTTATTAGTATGCCCATGTGGCAAGGTATCTATATAAAGTTCATGCAATGGTCTGTTTCATAATCTCCCAAAATAAGGATCAATATGTATGCAGTCCTGGATCTTAGTTTTTTGTTGTTGTTTTTTGTTGTTGTTTTTTTGTTTGTTTATTTACAATTTAAAGGTTTTTTTCCTAATTTATGATAATGTTAATCTATAGAAAGCTTACCAAAAGCTCTATTTTACTACAATTTTTTTAAACAAAAAGTCCAAATACTCAAACATTGAAAGTGACTTTCTCAATTACCATTTTTCATTTGATGTATCTTCACTTATTACTACTGCATTACAGTTTTTTTCTTATGTGGTGCAAGGTTATAAAAATGCCTTCCAGTTGATTTTTTGGTAACAGTAGAATCTGTTTTCTCAGACAATAACATGAGAATTTTGGATATATTACCTTTTGAGTTACTAAAAGGAACTTGATAAATGTGTAGAAATTTGTCTTTGTTAATAGACGTTTTATTCAAAGACTAAAGAAAGAAAAGTTGGCCAGGTGTGGTGGTTCACACCTGTAATCCCAGCACTTTGGGAGGCTGAAGGGGGTAGATCACAAGGTCAGGATTTTGAGACCAGTCTGGCCAACATAGTGAAACCCCATCTCTACTAAAAATACAAAAAATTAGCTGGGTGTGGTGGTGTGCACCTGTAATCCCAGCTACTGGGGAGCCTGAGGCAGGAGAATTGCATGAACCCAGGAGGTGGAGGTTGCAGTGAGCCAAGATTGCACCATTGCATTCCAGCCCAGATGAGAGTGCGAGACTCTGTCTGAAAAAAAGAAAGAAAAAAAAACAAAAGTCATACAAACGCACTGAAAATAAATTGGAATCCGGCACCTGACACTGATTAACAGGTTGAGCAGATTAAACTAGACCTAAATCCCTGTAAACAACATTGAAAGTTGGAATTTTTTAATTAACAACATCTTCAACAATTTAATAAACCTATGGAATTAGCAAAAAAAGATTTGTTTACCCATCATCAATCAATATTAGGTTTAACTACAAAACTTTGAACACACCATATATAAAATGAAATTAGTAAACTATCCCCAGAGCTAATCTGATTAAAACAAGACTTCTGGGTATTTAGAAACACCAAATTATTGATAAGCATATCTATTTTTAACAGATTTTTGATCTTATATATATACTACTATTAAGTAAAACCTAGTACTAATAGATATGACTTATAAAATATTTGTGAATATTTATTACTGTAGTAAAATATCAAGAAATTATTTAAATCTATTGTCTAAAAGTTTTTCATTAACATATTTGGTATTTTAATTGAATGCCAGTATTCATATAGTATGGCAAACCACTCATTTCTTTACTATTTTGTCATTTTATAACTGAAGCCTGAATTTGTAGCCATTTTTTTAAAAAACAATCTTTTCTCAAGAAAGATTTACACATCAAAATGTAGAGGTATTAATGTCACATTATAAACACAGTTTGCTGAACCCTACAGTAATTTGTAAAGTTTGTTTGTGTATACCAACCTTAGATTTTCTAAAGCACAATAAAGTCTTTTTACGTTGTATTTAACATACAAAAGTCCAAAATATATCCAGACAGGCAGGAACTATGGCTGCCACTTTAAAACACAAATGTTTCAGCACGATACACTATTCTGTGTATGTATGGATAAATAATCAAACTTTGAAATTTTCAAATCATAAACAGATAATATTTGTTACTTTCAGCCTTTACTATGTAAAACAAATACACACAGTTTACTCTTCTTAGTTTAAAATATATTTACTTTGAACAATTCAACTAATGCAAGACTATTGAAAATTTCATAAGCCATACAAATGTCAACTTCATTTTCAAAATTATAAGAACTAAAAAAAAAAAAAAAAGCTAAAGCAAGACACTTTAGTTTAAAAAAAAGATAAATAACTTTTTATTTGCACTTGTGATGAGAATCACCTTTATTCATTTAGGAATAAACAGGAAATGGTGCAGTTGTAACTCGCTGTGTGGTGACTGTGATGGTATTTACTGTCCTAGGGATGGTGGGATCCAGTGGACCAGAATCGTCAGCACCTTACCATGTTCACTGCTGTCCTTTCACTCTGTCACTAAGATTAGTTTCCGAGACTCATCAACTCTTTCTATCATGGTGTGAACTGCTTTGCACTGCATTAGCATCTGCCTTTGGTTTCTGCTCATTTTCTTTGACTTTCATTTTTCTTGTCCTTCTCTGGTGTTTGCTTCACTGCTCCACTTTGAGGAGTTTGGGCAGCTTCACACTCAGTCGCTCCAACAGTTTGTTCATTTGGCAGAAGCTCTCCGTTCTTCTGTTCTTGGCATCTGAGATTTGTCAGCAAGGCCTGGTTTACAGGGACCATGGCTACTGCCTCCTCCCACCTGCGGGGCACCTCCTTCACTTCTGGAGGGCACCAGTTCCAGTTGTGATCCAGCCGAGCACAGCAGGAACCACCGCAGCAGCCAGAGCGCCCACGGCCAAGGTCGCCCAGCCCGAGGACACCTGGACTCAAAGCCAGGATTGGGGCTCAGCTTGGCGCACAGAAATCCGAGGTCAACCAAAGCATTTCCCACAGCTGGGCAAGCCCTCCTTGACCTGTGGGGCCAGTTTCTCCCACTGGCTTTCTGCTGCCACCTCCCCTTCCATCAGAGGGATGCTCAAGATTGTGTAAGGGCCTGTGGACACCGTGAAGAGTCCAGGGAAGTGAGGAGGGGCTGGGCCGGGCAGGCTCAAGCCCAGCACATGGCCACACCCCTCACACCTGAGCAGAGATCAGCCACTGCCACCGCGGGGAGGACAGAGGGGCCCAGGATCCCCCAGCCAGCCTCCCTCTGCATCAGGAGAGGAAGGAACTACTTCCAGAAAAAAAGTATAGAATAGAAATGACATATCTGACCCAATCGAGTTTTCAGTTTTTCTTTTCTTTTCTTTTTTTAGGTTTAAATACATTTTTATTAAATGTTAGAATAAATTTATACACAGTTCACAAATTCTTTACAAAGAATTGCCAATCTTTGTCCAATTTTGTAGTAGTCTCTATACAGATTCAGAAATTCTGCTGTGAACAGGGTTTATAAAATATTTCTTTTAGAGAGCATCACAATGCTAATTTTAGGCAAAATAATGTTTTAAAACTGAAGTCTTTGCATGGAGGTGAGCTCAAACACCCTTATTCTTTATTCCAGTGATGAAATAATGAGAAAAATAAACATTAAACTGACTTACCAAGAAAACAATGAATAAGTAATTCTGTAAACTTCTCAAATTCTCCTAAAATTTTTTATTACTTTCAGAAGCAATACTTTTGCAAGGTATCAACAACCACACTATGTACCCAAATAAAATGAATGTCAGAAATAAAAATACTGTCACAAAGAAGCACCCCTTATTGGAAGATGTATTGAAGAAGTCTTATTACACTGAAAGTTTATGGCACAGACCATAAACTCAGAGTCTCTTCACACATAATAACAATTCATCCATTTTGAAATGAGTAACTTCTCCTTTGTAGTGTTGCTAGTATAAAAAAAGATACAAGTTCAAAATATGCTGGCAACATACAAAAGTGGCCAATAGTTTTGGTCTTT
This sequence comes from Homo sapiens, assembly GCF_000001405.40. Lineage (NCBI taxonomy): Eukaryota > Metazoa > Chordata > Mammalia > Primates > Hominidae > Homo > Homo sapiens. Next base: position 169,435 of record NW_003315965.1, read on the forward strand.
GAGAGTACGCCCTGCAGTTTAACAAAGACTGGCTTTGGATCTTCCATTCAAAAGCACACTTCTCTTCCAAAAGGATGACTGCCCAACTGATGCCATCCCAGAGAGCAGATATCCCAACCACCAACTTGAAATGGCTGAACAAAGAAAACTAACCAATTACTTCAAAGATGGGAAGCAAAATCAATGTCAAGGTATTTAAAATCATAAGAAATTTTAAAATTCAATTTTTGAAAAATTTCCCCTGAGCTTTCGCTGCTTTTTATATACAGTCTCTAGTAACAGATGCATTCCATCGTTCCAAGTTGTACTTATAAATGCTATAATTCTTGGTGCTAAAAATAGGTAAGTTATGTCTTGAACAGCAAAGTGGTAGCAATTACATTTCATGGAAATCTTTGGTGAGATGCAGTCCTGCAGAAGCCTCCTTTGTTTCCCTCCTCATAATGTGCCTAGAATCTTCAAGTTATCTTCAGAGGAGAAACTACAAGACCATAATGAAGGACAAGCAGACCATCCTGCATTGCTGCATCACCTATTGCACGTCGGATTTCCCTTAGAGTTTGATACTGCTCCAACAGGTGATCACCACAGATGATATCTACCTGACAAGCTGGATCAAGACCCATTTTTCTTCTGAAGAATTTTTCTACATGTCCAATAGTTGCTTCTCCTGAAACTCGAACAAACTTCTTTTCCAATGGCTTAAAATGTCCCGTGCCTTCATTAGCACCAATGAACTCCAGTAATAAAGACATATCAAGTTCAGGTGGAATAGGAAACACTGATTCTCGGATTTTTTTAGATCTTCCTTTGCTTGAAGGGACTGGCTGTGGAACAGCAGGTTTAGGTACTTCTAGACCTCTTTCTTGATAGAAATCATGCATTTGCTTTTTTTCTCTTTCCTCTAGATTGATCACTAATTTGTACACTATGTCTTGTAACTGTCGGTCCAACCTTATAAAGAGGTTGTGTCTGATGTACTGCTATATTGCATTTTGGACATCTGTTGCTGTAGTAAAAATGTCTTACGACGCAGCTTTTACAAAAGGTATAAAGATATTCTGTGATGGTAGTTGCATCTATTAAGTAACCTTTGCAAATGGAACACAAGATATATGGGGTCAGCTCAGAGAGATTAATCAGGCGCTCCTCCTCGTCCTCCGAGTCTTGCCGGCCTCCCTCCAGCCTCAACGAGAAGTGACTCATGTCCTCCTCCTCCTCCTCCTCTTCTTCCTCCTCTAGCTCCTCTTCTTCTTCCAACTGCTCGTCCTTATCCTCGAAGCGGCCTCTGAAGCGGCCCAGGCTGCGCTCTGGCTCCAGCTCAGGGGGCCGGGAGCCGGAGCAGCCGGGAGCCCCAGTCTCAGACAGAGGCGCCGGTCCCTCCTCACCCGCTGCGGGTGCGAGGGTGAGGGCGGGCGGGGAGACAGGAGGCGGAGGCGGCAAGGCTGCAGCTCCCTCGGCTTTGGCAGCGCTTACGCTGCCCGCCGTCACCACCGCGACCCCCTCCATGGTTGGGGCAACTTGCTTACACGTTAAGAAAAGAAGTCACATCGAATAGTTGATAGGTCTAAATATATGTTACAATGCCCTTTGTGGGCAAAGTGCAGGCAGGAGACTCACATAACCTTGGTGCTGTTCCCAGGAATATATCACAATGCCTTCTGAGTACAGTTCAAAAATGAAAGTGTAACGTCACCTTAGTTTGAGGCCCAGTGATATGTCACAATCTCCCCTGTGGACAAAAACTAGAAAGGAGAATCACATCAGTTAGGTGCTGAGTTCAGCAATATGTCATAATGCCCCCTGTGAGCAGGGACCAGGCAAAAAAAGAGAGTCACATAACCTGGGTTATTGGCACAGAGATTTGTCACAATTCCCCCTGTTGGCAGGTCCTAGGCATGAGAGTTACATCACCTGGGTGTTGGACCCAGCAATATTTTATGATAATATGTGAAAAGGGCACAGGCAGGAGAGTCATGTAACCTGGGTATATACCCCAGAGATATGTCAAAATACCTTTTGTGGACAGTGCCGAGGCAGAAAAATGGAGTCACATCACCTAGGTGCTGGGTAGAGCAACCCATCACAATTCCATCTGTGGGCTAGACCATGGCAAGAGTCATATCACTCAGATGCCAAATAGAGGAACATGTCAGCATCACTCCTGCAGGAAAGTCTGAGGAAAAGATGAACAATCTTACACATGTCCCAATTCTAGGTATAAGAGTCAACGCTTCCTATATTTTGGGTCTAAGCAAATGAGTCACAATCTCAGTGGTGGGCTGGATTTGTGCATGAGCGTCTCAATTTTTTCTATGAATTCCGTTTTCTTAGTGGAGTGATGGCCTCATAACTGTGCTGAATTTTGGTCTGAGAGTCACCAACCCCCCTGTGGACTGGGTCTACCAATGAGAGACAATGTTTTAATTTTCAACTGCCTTTGGTTATGAGATTCAACACCTCAACAGTGGGCTGTATCCATGAGGAAAGATGGCAAGTTTTACTGTCAGTTGGGTGTGGATATCACTGTCACAATCTCACCTGTGCGCTGAACCCCGTTAGGACATTTAATACTACCCAAGATCATCGTAGACTAGGAATGAGAGTCACAATTTTCCCTGAGACCTTTATGCTGCTCCCTAGGCCCAGGTAGAAAAGTTAATATTTCTCAAATTAATTGGGCCCAGACAGAAGAGTCCTCACTTGTCTATGAGCTGGGTCTAGAAATGAGTCACCATCCCAACTTTGGACAGGTGTTTACATTTGACAGTCAGGAATCAAACTGTGGATTGCATCTGCATGTGAGACACAAGACCTCACCAATGGGCTGTTTCCAGGTGTTAGGGTGACAATCCTAACAGGTGTCTGGGTGTGTATACAAGAAACACAATATCCCTTTTGTTTTGGGACATGTGAACACTCTCTGTACCACTCAAGAGCTTTATACCATATACAAGTGCATGGTAGTTCTCTATGACCGTCATATAAAGAGGAGACACAGGTATTTTATAAGTTTTCCTAAGCCTAGCTATAAGAAACAGTATCGCTTCTACTGACTTGTTTGAGGTATGAGAACTGTCATCACACCTGTGAGCTGGGCCAGGATATATGTAATAATTTCTCCCCTGAAGAGAGAGTAAACAGGGAAGTCACATTACCTGGGTTTGGGGCTGAAGATACGTCATAATCTTCTTTGAGGGCAGGGACAAGAAAGGAGAGTCAAATCTCCTGAATTCTTGGCCAGGAAGATTTACAATCCTCTCTTGAATGTTGGGAACAGGCAGCAGAGTCACATCACCTAGGGCCCAGTGATATGTCACAATTGTCTCTGTGGGCAAACCCCAGTCAGAAGAGACACATCACTAGGTTGCTTAGTTCAGTAATATGCCACAATCTTCCCTGAGGGCAGGGTATAAGCAGAAGACAGTCACATTTTTCAAGTCACATATCTTTTAAAAAAGTGATGAGGGCCCCTTGGGCTGAGTCTGGGTGGAAGTTTTCCTACCCATAGGTGTTGGTCACAGAGGTATGTCACAATACCAATAATATGTGACACTTGAGCAAGAGAGGATAGTCACATCACCAAGGTGCTCAGTTCAGTGATATGTCACAATCTCTCCTTTTTGCAGGGCTCAGGAAAAGAGTAGAGTCGCATCACCTAGGTGATGAACAAAATGATATGTGATAACATTCCTGTGAACAGAGCTTATGCAGGAAAGTCACATCACCCAGGTGTTTAACCTAGCTATATATTACACATGTATGCAGTGCCCACGCAAAAGCAGAGAGTCATATCACTAGGTGCTGGGTCCAGCAATATTTCATAATATCCCTTGAGGGGAGGTCCCAGGAAGTAGATTCACATCACCAAGATGAATGGCCCAGAAATATGTCCTCTTGTGGGTAGGGCTCAGGAAAAAGAGGAGAGTCACATAACCTAGTGACTGGGCCCAGCTCTATGTCACAACCAACCCAGTGATAAGACCTAGTCATGAGAAGAGAGTCACACCATGTAGGTGCTAAGCCAAGTTCACAATCCACACTGTGCACAAGTTGCAGAAAAAAACAGGAGTATCACATCATCTAGGTAATGGGCCTAATGATATATCATAGTAACTCCTGTGGAAAGAGACCAGGAAGAAGTATTACATCACCTGTGTTCTGGGCCTAGCAATAAGTCACTCTCCCTATCTCCCACTCTCCTGAAGGCATGGCCCAGGCAGAAGAGGAGAGTCACATCAACTGAGTGATGAGCACAGAAATATGTAACAGTGCCCTCTGTAGATAGAACCCAGTCATAAGAGTTACTTCCTTTGGGTGTTGGACCCTGCAATATGTCACAGTGGCCAATGTTGTCTGGACACAGGCAAAAGAGTCACATAACCTGTCTACAGAGCACTTTGATATGTGAAAATGCTCTCTATGGGTGGAGCCACAGCAAAAGAATAAAGTCACATCACCTAGGTGCTGGGTCCATGGATGTGTCATGTTTTTATCTGTTGTCTGACCCCAAGCAAGAGAGTCAAATTATTAAGGTCCCGGGCAGAGGCTTATGTCACAATCACACCTAGGAAGGTCCAGGGATGTGATTGACAATCTTGAACATGTCTAGGTTTTATTTACGAGAGTCAACACCTCCTGTATGTTGGCTCTAAAAACAGGAGTCACGCAATCTCAATGAGAGAGTGGGTCCATACATGACAGCCTCAATCCCTCCTGCAAACTGTGTCCTCTTTGAGGATTCACAGCCTCACCTGTGTGCTGAATGTCTGAGATTAACCAACCCACTTGTGGATTGGATCCATGGATGATAGTCAATTTTCCAACTTTCCACTGCCACAGGGTATGAAATTAAGAACTTCAAAAGAGGGCTGTGTTCATGTGGGAGGATGACAATTTTTACTATCAGCTGGATGTGCACACACGTATTACAATCTCATCTGACTCCTGGGCCCTGTTAGGACACTCTCTGTACCACACAAGGGTATTATGTGGTATGCACGAGAGTCACAATCTATTCTGAAACCTTCATACTAGTATGGATTTGTGATTTTTACCTGTGGCTTTAAGCCCAGGTATGAGGGTCAACATCTCTCCTATTGGTGGGTTCCAGATAGAACAGTCTTTACCTACCTATGATTTGGGTTTAGGAATGAATCACTATCTTAACAGAGGCTGAATGTTCTGTCACAATTGCAACTGTAGATTGTGTCTGCATTTGGGATTCAGGACCTCCTCAGTGGGCTCGGTCTATGTGTGAGGGTGATGATCTTAATGACTGCCACAGTGTAAATATGTAAAGCACAACCTCAATTGTGTGCTGTTCTCTGTGGTGACACTCTCAGTACAAGCTGAGTGCTTTATGGTACATGCAATAGAGTGATAAGCCTCCATGATCTTTGTACAAAGAGGAGACCCAAGGATCTTACCCATTTTTCTAAGTCTACCTACAAAAGACAGTATTTCTCTTATTGGCAGGTTTGAGGAATGAGGGTCATCATCACATCTGTTACCTGAGTAAAGACATATGTCACAATTCCACCTGTGGATAGGAAGCATGCAGGAGAGTCACATCATGTGGGTTTGGATCTAGAGATATTTCTCAACATTCCCTGAGGACAGAGACCAGGCAGGAAAGTCACATCACCTGGGTGCTGCTCCTAGTAATATGTCACAATTTCTCCTATGGGTAGGGTGCAAGCAGGAGAAAGTCATCTCCTAGGTAATGTATGCAGAGATATGTCACAAGGCTTTCTGTGAGTAAGTTTTAGGCAAGAGCCTCCCATACCCTAGGTGTTGGGCCTAGCAATATGTCACAATACTCAAAATATGAGAGGCCCAGGTAAAAGAGAAGACTCACATTACCTAGGTGTTGGGTCTAGGGCTTTATACAGTTTGAATGAGAGTCACAATCTAGTCTGAGACTTTCTTGCTGGTATGAACCTATGATTGTATCTGTGTCCCTAAACCTAGGTAGGAGAGGCAACATCTCTCCAATGTTCTGGGTCCAGATAGGAGAGCCCTCATCTTCTTATAAGCTGCATTTAAAGATGTTTCGCCATCACAAATCTGGCCAGATGCTCACATATGACAGTCACAAATCCAACTGTGAACTGCATCCATGTGTAAGATTCACAAGTGAGGTCTATCCATCTGTGAGGGTTACAATTTTAATGGTTGATGGGTTGTGCATATGTGCAAGTCAACTTCACCTGTAGGCTGGGCTCTGTGGTGACACATTGTGTACAATTCAATGGCTTTATACCATATGTGAGAGTGTGGTAATCCCCTCTGACCTGCAGAAAAATAGGAGACCCACGATCACACCCATATCCCTAAGCCTAGCCTTGGGAGACAGTATCTCAGCAACTGGCTGGTTCAAGATATGAAAGTCATCATATTACTTGTGAGATGGGACAGTATATATGTAACAAATCCACATTTGTGTAGGTAGCAAGCACGAGAGTCACATCACCTGGGTGCTGGGCCAGAGATTTGTTATAAAAAACAAAGCTTTTAACTGGTCCTGAGAACTAACTAGACATAGTCACAGAGATCTGTTATATTTGTTTATATTTGTTAGAATATTTCCTTATTTTTGAAAACTGAGTGAATTTTCAATGTATTTATCTTTCTAATTGTCTCTACTGAATGATTTGGTGACAGAAATTTGCATTGCTTTTGCCTATTGGCTTACAATAACAATGCTTCAATAACTATGGGTATGCAAATAACTGTTCAGATTACCATATATGTGAAAATTTATGTATGTGTTGCATTTTATTTTATTAGTCTACTTTTTTTTACCTTTACACTCATTCAAATTGTTTTAATTCTTTAGCTTTATAATGTTTTTTGAAATCAGGAACTGTAATGCCTCCGATTTGTTTTTTTAAAAATATTTTTTGGTACATTATTGTCTCTTGCAATTTCATATACTTTTGCATTTGCTGTTTTTGTCTCTTTAAAAATGCAATGAGAAATTTTAAAAACATTGCATTAAATCTGTAGATTACATTGGGCAGTATAAACATCTTCACAATATTAATTATTTCAACTTTTCACCAAGAGCATGCTCAAGAGTGTATTGTTTAATTTGTAGATATTTGTGAATTTTTCAGGTTTCTTCTGTTGTTTATATATTCTTATTCAATTTTGGTTATAAGAAGTAATCCACACAATTTTAGTTTTAAAAATGTGTTAAGACTTCTTTTTTGACCTAACTGGTGATCTATCAAAGAGAATGTTATGAGCTACTGCAAAGGGTGTGTGTCCTATGCTGTTGAGGAGTATTCTCTATACCTTTCTTAGGAATCATTGTTTTATACTGCCTGCAAATCTAATGTTCCCTTACTAATATTCTGCTTTGTCTTATTTTTATTATTGAACACAAGGTATAGAAATATCTCACTATAATTATGTTGCTCTCTATGTGTTTCTTCAATTCTTTCAATATTTGCTTTATATATTCAGAACCCTAATATGAGATACACACACACACAAACTTATGTACAAATTTGTCATAGGTTCCCAGTGCATAAATCTATTATTGTATTATTGTTGGCAGGGCACAGTGGCTTACATCTGTAATCCCAGAACTTTGGGAGGCCAAGGTGGGTGGATCACGAGGTCAGGAGATTGAGACCTTCCTGGCTAACATGGTGAAACCGTGTCTCTACTAAAAATACAGAAAAAAAAAAAAAATTAGCCGGGCGGGTGGCATGTGCCTGTAGTACCAGCTACAGGCTGTAGTCTATACAGGTTTTTTCTATGGTACTTTGGAGATTACATAAAACCTTTAAAAGATACAACAATATATTTTAATCTGGTAAAAAATTAACTTTAGTTGCCTGTAAAATTTCTTCCTCATTACATGTGCCCTAAACCTTGTTATTAATGTTGCTAATTATCTTTTTATGTTGCATATTCATTAACAGGTGTTTACCATAATTTCTATGCTTTTATGTTTCAAATTTTAGACACTAAAAGTGCTTTTTCCACCATTTTGATAATGCTAAGGAATTCTGTTTTGTGTATGTGTGTAAGTTTTTTAGAAAGTTATGTATTTTTATAAAATTATGTGTTGTTCTCCTTCATCATGTTCTTTTCAGTGGAAGGAACTCATTTCAGCATCTTTAATATGTAGGGCATATGAAATGCCAATATACTTTTTCCGAATTTGGTTACTTTGCAAGGTCTTTTTCTTTTTATTTGTTAGGACAGTTTTGCTGATAGCATTATTCTCACTTGACAACTATTTTCTTTAGGACTTTGACTACATCACACAGTTTCCTCCTAACCTGCAAAATTTTGTCGACAAATTTACTGGTTATCTCATTAGACTATGCTTTTAAATGACACATCACTTTTGCCTTGAAGCTCTCAAGATTCTCTAATTGTCTGTGACTTTAAAAATTGTGCCTATATATATATGTTTGTTAGAAATATCTTTGTGTGGCCAGGTGCAGTGGGTCACACCTGTAATCCCAGCACGTTGGGAGGTGAGGCGGGCTGATCATCTGAGGTCGGGAGTTTGAAACCAGCTGACCAACCTGGAGAAACCTCGTCTCTGCTAAAAAAAATATATAAAAATTAGCCGGGTGTGGTGGTGCATGCCTGTAATCCCAGCTACTCAAGAAGGCTGAGGCAGGAGAATCGCTTTAACCCAGGAGGCGGACGTTGTGGTGAGCCAAGATTGCACCACTGCACTCCAGCCTGGAAAATAAGGGCAAAACTGGGTCTCAAAAAAAAAAAAGAAAGAAATATCTTTGTGTGCATCCTAGTTTGTTTGTTGAGCTTCTTCATTTTTACATCACATTTTATTACTTTTAAAAATTTTCAGTTATTTCACTTTGTATTTTTACCTCCATAATTTCTAGGGTTTATTGATATTTTAAATATTTTTGTTGTTATTCTTTTTTTAATTGCATTTATTTTAATGCTGAATTTACTCACAGGCCATAAGTTTGTGTTTCTTCAGTTTCTTCTGGGACACCTTTTTTTTGTGGGTAATGTCCTTTTTCAGTTGAGGAACAATTTGTTCCTTTTCAGTAAAGATCATCTTTATGTGGCAGGGAGAGCTCATATATGGGTTAATCTGACCATGAGCTCTGTAGTCTAGACATAATAAAATTTATACTGGAGAAAACCCTACAAATGTGAAGAATGTGGCAATGCTTTTAATCAGTCCTCAAACCTTATTGAACGTAAAATAATTCATACTGGAGACAAACCCTATAAATGTGAAAAAATGTAACAAAGTCTTTAATTGGTCTTCAACTCTTACTGAACATCAGAGAATTTATACAGAAGATAAAGCCTAAGAATACGAAGAATGTGAAAAAGGCTTTAACTTTTGAACCCTTATTACACATAGGATACATCATATTGGAGAGAAATTCTAGAAATGTGAAGAATATGGCAAAGCTTTTAATAAGTTCTCAAACCATACTGGAGAGAAACTCTACAAATCTGAAAGATGTGACAATGTTTTTGAAAACACCTCAAACTTCTAAAAATAAAAGAAATACTAGTAAGAAACAGTAGAAGTGTGAGTAATGTGACAAAGCCTTTAAATTCTTGTCACACTTGATTGTAAGATAATTTATACTGGAGAAAACTTCTTCAAGTATGGAGAATACGACAAAAAGTTTAACCAATGCTCACATCTTTTTGTTTGTTTGTTTGTTTGTTTTTTGGAGATAGAGTTTCGCTCTTGTTGCCCAGGCTGGAGTGCAATGGTGTGATCTTGGCTCGCTGCAACTTGTGCTTCCTGGGTTCAAGCGATTCTCCTGCCTCAGCCTCCTGAGTAGCTGGGACTAAAGGCATGCACCAGCACACCCAGCTAATTTTGTATTTTTAATAGAGATGGGGTTTCTCCAAGTTGGTCAGGCTGGTCTCAAACTCCTGACCTCAGGTGATCTGCCCGCCTCAGCCTCCCAAAGTGCTGGGATTACAGGCGTGAGCCACCGTGCCTGGCTCAGTGCTCACATCTTATTGCACAGGAAAGCATTTATTCTTGAGAAAAATTATACTAATATAAAAAATGTGGAAAAGCCATTCATATCTGCTCACATCTTACTCAACATCACGGAGTTCATACTTAAAGCATTAACAATGCAATTACTGTCAAAAGATCTATCAGAATATATAAACCTTTAATAGTATTTATTTTGGGCTGGGTGCGGTGGCTCATGCCTATAATCCCAGTGCTTTGGGAGGCCGAGGCGGGCAGATCACCTGAGCTTGGGAGTTCGAGACCAGCCTGACTAACATGGAGAAAGCCTGTCTCTACTAAAAATACAAAACTTAGCCGGGCATGGTGGTGCATGCCTGTAATCCTAGCTACTTGCGAGGCTGAAGCAGTACAATCGCTTGAACCCAGGAGGTGGAGGTTGCGGTGAGCCAAGATCACGCCACTGCACTCCAGCCTTGGCAACAAGAGCGAAACTCTGCCTCAAAAAAAAAAAAAGTGTATTAATTTTGAACATGAACGAACATTACAAATATAAAAAGGGTTTTAGTGCCTTTAATTCTATTACAGATCTTGTTGTATACATTTTGTGCTAGAGGAAAACCCTACGGCAGTTGCTCAAACTTTATTCAACACCAGGAAATTTATACTGTAGAAATACCCTGCAAATTTAATGAATTTGGAAAACCATTTTTTAAAAAACTACAGCTTAGAAAACATCAGAGTGTATACTAAGATTTTTTTTGTAAATACAGTAAATATAGAGTATTTTATCCAAAATTAAGTCTATGTCAGTACCAGAGAATATACAGTAGTAATAATAAGGCACTGAAATGTCAGACATTACACTAAATCAGAGTGTTGAGTATAGAAAATAATTCCAAACTAAAATTGTTAGATAAGTTTTTTGTATATAACTTTAAAAGGAGTAGATTTTTTGTAGAGTTATAATTACATGGGAAGTATACTTTTTATTGAAAAAATACAGACTTTTTGAAAAGCAAATAATGATGCAATTGAACTCTCAAATTATTTTCTGCTCTTTGTTTCTATTGTATTCACATGTGAAAGCATGTGATCAATTGCTGCATCAGATATATGAGAGATTATTTTTATTAAGTGGGCATTATTTATGAACTTTTCCATAAAAGAATAAGGATATTAAAATATAAGATGCATGATGAAAATCTAAGTGAAGAGGCTTTTTGTGGTTGACTTATAATATTAAGTAGTGTATGAGGTAGGTTTCTAAGTAATATTCTTGTGCATTATAGTGAGAGAAAAACATTTTTAAATTTTAGTTAAAATTAAAAATAAAATTAGTAGTATATCATTATAATTGTGCTTATATGTAATAAAATATGGTATATTAAAAATTTTTAGATTATATGTGAACTTAATTTTGTAACATTTTTTAACATGTTAATTTTATTGTGCACTCAATGAAGTGTTATTATGCCACTAACTTTAACCTATCCCACCTTACTCAAGGGTGTAGGTAAAACATGGTAACAGTATATTATTTAGTAACATAGTGGAATAACATCTCTAGTAATCTATTTTTTCAGTGGCTTTAATCTGCAAATAAGTGAGAGACTATTGTTCTCATAGGTTAAGTTTTTATTTTTTTTCTTATTTAAATTTTTTAAAAAATTTTGTGGGCATATAGTGTATGTATATATTTATGCCATATATGGCATATTTTGATACAGGCATACAATATGAAATAATTACATCAGGGTAAGTGAGGGATTATCACCTCCAGCATTTATTCTTTTTTTTTTTTTTTTTCCTTTTTTTGAGACAGAGTCTCGCTCTGTCACCCAGACTGGAGTGCAGTGGCGCAATCTCAGCTGACGGCAAGCTCCGCCTCCCAGGTTCATGCCATTCTCCTGTCTCAGCCTCCCAAGTAGCTGGGACTAGAGGCGCCTGCCACCACTCCTGGCTAATTTTTTGTATTTTTAGTAGAGACGGGGTTTCACCATGTTAGCCAGGATGGCCTGGATCTCCTGACCTCATGATCCGCCTGCCTCGGCCTCCCAAAGTGCTGGGATTACAGGCGCGAGTCACTGCGCCAGGCAGCATTTATTCTTTAAGTTAGAAACAATTCAATTCTACACTTCTAGTTATTTTAAAATGTACAATTAAATTGTTATTGACTACAGGGTCATTTTACGGTCATAATAAAAATTATATACAAGTATACATAAAATCCATACATATCTGAGACCTAAATATTTTTAAAAACTTGTTACATATTTTTCTTTGAACATGTGGACACTCTGCCTGCAAAAATTTACAGATTTTTAGTTTTGATTTAAGTAGGATTAAATATATACATATATTACTCTGAAGACAAACATGAGGTGTAAAAACATGCAGTAAGTGTGTTTGTATAACTATGGGTTTGTACCTGTTTTCAGAAGAATACAACAATATTAGAACAAAACAAATTATTTTAATGGCTAATTTACTAGAAAACTAAAAACCTCAATTTGCCTAGGCAATGATCTATCGTGATTAATTTCCCAGATGTTCTTTGAGCTTCTCGTATTTTGACATCTAGGTCTCTAGCAAGGCTGAGAAAGTTTTCCTTGATCATTACACCAAAAATATTTTCCAAACTTTTAAATTTCTCTTCTTCTCCAGGAAAGCCAGTTATTCTCAGATTTGGTTGTTTAACATAATCCCAAACTTCTTGGAGGCTTTATTATTTTAAAATTATCTTTTCTTTGTTTTTGTTGGATTGGGTTGATTTGAAAACATTGTCTTCGAGCTCTGAAGTTCTTTGTTCTGCTTGTTTAATTTTATTGCTGAGACTTTTCAGGACATTTTGCATTTCTCTAAGTGTGTCCTTTATTTCCCGAAGTCGTGATTTGTTTTTTGTATGCTATCTATTTCACTGAAGATTTCTCCCCTCATTTCTTGTATCTTTTCAAATTTTTTAAAATTGGACTTCGCATTTCTCTGGTGCCTCCTTGATTAACTTAATAATCAACCTTCTGAATTCCTTTTCACGTAAATCAGGGATTTCTTCCTGGTTTGAATTCATTCCTGGTGAGCTAGTGTAACTTTTGGAGGGTGTTAAAGAACTTCGTTTTCTCCTATTACCAGAGTTGTTTTTCTGGTGTCTTCTCATTTTGGTAGGCAATATCAGAGGCAAGACCTGGGGCTCAAGACTGCTGTTCAGATTTTTTTGTCCCACAGGGTGTTGCCTTGATGTAGTACTCTGCCACTTTTCCTAGGGATGTGGCTTTCTTAGAGCTGAACTGTAGTGATTGTTATTTCTTTTCTGGATCTAGCAACTTAGAAGAACTACCAGGCTGAGGGCTGGTACTGGGGCTTGTCTGCATAGAGTCCTTTGATGTGAACCATCTGCAGGTCTCTCAGCCATGGATACCAGCACCTGCTTCAGTGGAGGTGGCAGGGGAGTAAAATGGACTCTGTGATGTTTCTTAATTTTGGTTGTTTAATGTACTATTTTTGTGCTCCTGACAAAAGGTGGTGCTTTCAAAACAGCATCAGCTGTGGTAATAAAAGGAGGATCAGGCAGTGGGCAGGGCCCCATAACTCCCAAGAGGATACCCTCTTTGTCTTCAGCTACCAAGGTGGGTAGGGAAGGACCATCAGGTGGGGGCAGGGTTAGGCATATCTGAGCTCAGACTCTCCTTGGGCAGGGCTTGCTGTGGCTGCTATGGGGAGTGGGGGTGTGGTTTTCAGGTCAACAAAGTTATGTTCCCAGGAGGATTATGGCTGCCTCTGCTGTGTCATTCAGGTTGTCAGTCAGAGAAATGGGGGAAAGCCAGCAGTTACAGGCCTCACCCAGCTTCCGTACAACCCAAAAGGTCTGTCTTACTCTCACCGTGCCACCTCCAACAGCACCAAGTCTGTTTCCAGGCAGTGGGTAAGTAGGGCTGAGAACTTGCCACAGGCTCCCAGCCTTCCAACTGAGAAAGTAAGCAGGACTTTCACACCTTACCGCCTGTCATGTGTGCACACCGGACTCACACCCTTCCCATGTTCTGGCCAGGAGACTTCGTGTCCAGTTGGAATTGTTACAAAGTTCAGCTGGAGGTTTTCTTCTTCCTGTGGCCTTTTCCCAGTGCCTCTGGCATCCCTCCCCAATGACCCCTGTAAAATAGATCAGAACTGGGTTTTCTGGAGGACCTAGAGAGCCCACAGGTCTTTTCTGGCTGCTGCTTCTACTCCTGCATTTTGCTCAGCTCTCTAAATTGATTCGGCTCCAGGTAAGGTCAAATTCTTTTTCTGTGATCTAGACCTTCAGGTTTTTCAGTGAAAGTGTGTGTTTGGTGGCAAACAATCCCCCTTTCTTACTTTCACAGCTTGGGCATTCACAGCATTTGGGCAGTCTCCCAGGCCCTGCAGGAGCATCTGCTTTTTTCAGAGGGTTTGTGGATTTTCTTGGCTTTTCTGGTATATTTCTGCAGTAGTTCTGGAGGAAAAGTTCATGATGCGAGTCTCAACACGCTGCTCTGTGTGTCTGAGTGGAAGCTGTGATCTAATTCTGCCTTCTGTATACCATTTTTTGTTGAGTCCTGACCTATTTTTTTCTTGGGGGCTTTTTTAATACATATAGATACAGGTATAAGATTGGTGGATAAACATACAGAATGGGTCCCCTGGTTATGTTTATACAAACTCCATATATGCATACGTCTGGCAAAAAGCTTCAGGAAAAAAGTAGGTCTGAGGTTATTTTCCTTCACAACTGTAAACCAGGTGAATTCGAGAAGCTGATTAGCTCCACCCAGGTTAATCAATCAGCCAATCCTCTCAGCCCAGATAGATATGATCAGCCAATTAGCTAAGTTGGAAAAGTGAAAGCATCACATTTTGTGATGTTGTCAAGCCACATCACAACATGGCTGATATGAATAACACAGACATACAGTGAGTATGAGAGTGGGGTCCTAAAGGCTGGGTGTGGTGGCTCACGCCTGTAATCCCAACACTTTGGAAGGCCGAGGTGGGCAGATCATGGGGTCAGGAGATCGAGACCAACCTGGCTAACACGGTGAAACCCCGTCTCTACTAAAAATACAAAAAATTAGCCAAGTATGGTGGTGGGCGCCTGTAGTCCCAGCTACTCCGGAGGCTGAGGCAGGAGAATGGCATGAACCTGGGAGGCAGAGCTTGCAGTGAGTCCAGATCACGCCACTACACTCCAGACTGGGACAGACAGCAAGACTCCATCTCAAAAAAAAAAAAAAAAAATTAGCAAGGCATGGTGGCTCATGCTTACACTCTCAGCTACTTGAGAGGCTGAGGTAGGAGAATCACTTGAACCCAGAAGGTGGAGGTTGCAGTGAACCAAGATTGTGCCACTGCACTTCAGCCTGGGTGGCCAACCAAGATGGCCTCAAAAAGCAACAAGAGGCCGGGCGTGGTGGCTCATGCCTGTAATCCCAGCACTTTTGGAGGCCAAGGAGGGTGGATCACGAGGTCAGGAGATCGAGACCATCCTGGCTAACACGGTGAAACCCCATCTCTACTAAAAATACAAAAAATTAGCCGGGCGTGGTGGCGGGCACCTGTGGTCCCAGCTACTCCGGAGGCTGAGGCAGGAGAATGGCGTGAACCCAGGAGGCGGAGCTTGCAGTGAGCCAAGATAGCGCCACTGCACTCCAGCCTGGGCGACAGAGCGAGACTCTGTCTCAAAAAAAAAAAAAAAAAAAAGAACAACAACAAAAAAGCAACAAGAACAACAACAACAACAAAACCCAATAAAACAAATAGGTAATACTGAACATTCTCTAAAGCGCCATAGGTGGCTCTTATTTGCCCCGCCAAATCTTCTTTGTGAGGAAGGCTAGGCCCCCTAGTGAATATTTCTGGCAGTTCCTCTCTAGATGAACAGAACCTCAGTGAGCTGGTTTGATGAAACCCAAAATTAAAAACACCCAGGTGCCAGGTTATCAAGGAAATAATTAAATGTATGAAAAAAAGTGACGTGGTGTGTTGCTTGGATTGAATAAATCTTTTCGGAGCTAAGTGACTGACTGGATTTACCTAACCTGTAGGTAAAGATAATGGAAATCACCTCTGATGAATTTTATTTTATTGGCTTCTTACTGTACATATATACATTAGACATAAAATAGGTGGCTAAACATATACTCACAAAATAAGTCACATGGGTACGTCTACATAATATTCATCTGTGTATAGGTCTCCAAAGAAAGCCTCAGAAAAAAGTAGGTCAAAGGTCATCTCCGTATTCTCCTGAAGCCAAGGTAAATTCAGTAAGCCAATTCGCAGAACCCAGGTGGATCCAATCAGCCAATTATCTAAATAACGACTTTGGATTTATCAAGGCAGGACCAAAATGGTGGGTGTGAGTAGAACATGCACACACTGAGAAGAAATGCAAGGGCCGGGTACGGTGGCTCACGTCTGTAATCCCAGCACTTCGGGAGGCTGAGGTGGGCAGATTGCAAGGTCAAGAAATCGAGACCATCCTGACCAACATGTTGAAACCCCGTCTCTACTAAAAATAGAAAAATTAGCTGGGCATGGTGGCACATGACTGTAGTCCCAGCTACTCAGGAGGCTGAGGCAGGAGAATCACTTGAACCCAGGAGGCAGAGGTTGCAGTGAGCCGAGATCACACCACTGCACTCCAGCCTGGCGACAGAGCAAGACTCTGCCTCAAAAAAAAGAAAAAAAGGAACTTTCATACACGTATAAATTTATCTGCCCTTTAAACAAGATCTAGAGAATTACACAAATAAAAATATGCTCCAATATCCTGCTGCATTTAACATATATTGTTAAAGAAGGATTTTTTCTTGTTTCTTGCTTCTGGGAGATAAAAATACACTAAGGCAATGGAAGTCATTCATTGCTATGTCAATGTTGACCCTTCTCTTTCTGTTGCACATGCGGCCAAAGTTGAACCAGCCTCAGTCCAAAGTTTCTCACCAAAATTTGAGAATGTTTATTCTTTCTCATTAAGACTTTCATCAAGACAGGGACTCTTGTTTATTTCCATGAGCGTGCGATGTGAAAACACTTTTCTTTTTGTCTTTGTGGCTAAAATAGGCTCTTTATGGTAATGGAAAGAAAGCCTAGGTTTCTTATTATAAGATAGACTGTGATACTGAAAGCAAATATAATGGTACATGTTACCTGGCTACATTTCAAATAGGTGATAGTGACACTGCACTGAACCACCAAAGGTGGTTCTTTTTGGCCAGGCCAAAGCTCCTTTGTGAAAAAGGTTAGGCCCACTGGTGTCAGGCATGTCTGAATGTTTCTAGCTGGATGGACAGAATCCCATGGGCCAGTTTGATGAGACCGAGTTAAAAACACCCTGGTGCTGTGTAATGAGGACATTTTTACATTAAAAAAGCAAGATTTGAGGCCGGGTGTGGTTGCTCATGCCTGTAATCCCAGCACTTTGGGAGGCCGAGGTGGGCAAACCACCAGGTCAGGAGTTTGAGACAAGCCTGGCCAACATGGTGAAATCCCGTCTCTACTAAAAATATAAAAATTAGCTGGGCGCGGTGGTGGGTGCCTGTAATCCCAGCTATTCTGGGGGCTGAGGCAGGAGAATCCTTTGAACCTGGGAGGCAGAGGTTGCAATAAGCTGAGATTGCACCCACTGCACTCCAGCCTGGGTGACAGGGTGAGACTCTGTCTCAAAAAAAAAAAAAAGCATGATTTGCTGTATGGCTTGAATTTGATAAATCTTCACTAAGCTAATGGTTGATTGAATTTACCTGGCCTGAATGGGAAAAAAATAAATATCACCTCTGACCTACTCTTGTTGGCTGTCTTTTGTACATATAGATATAGATATAAGATAGGTGGCTAGATAAACATATACACAGAAAATGGGTAACATAGGTATATCAACGTAATGATCTTTATTGCATATGTCCTGTAGGGAAGCCTCAGAATAAAAGTAGGTCAGAGGTCATTTTTCTTTCCAGCTTCTGCAGCCAAGGTGAGTTTAATGAGCTGCTTAGATCAGCTCAGGTTGATATAAGTCAATTAGCTAAATTAGGAAGTTGCAGGCATCCAGGCAGACCCCAAATGGCAAATGTGAATCACATAGGTTTACAGTGAGAAAGGAAGCAGGGCCCTGAAATGCTAAGCTGGAACTAGAGTCTAACATGGTTTTGCCGAAAACTTACCTCCCAGGCAATGCACCTAAATGTGAAGCTTTGTTGATATTTAAACATAACATTGTATGGCTGTGTTCCAGTCTGAGATGGTGTGGATCCATATGGGTTAGAGTAGGTTTACATCTGCATCTTCAGTGTAGGCTAGGGAATTTAAAATGTCTTTTGATTAATATCTTTTATATATATAAATATTTACATAGGCATGCTCATATAATTCTATATTCATATTTATCTACTCATGTATATCTATATACAGATCTATCATTTTTTCCATTTGCATACAAAATAAAGATATAGGAGGTCAAAGGATAAATAAGTATTTGCATTTATAGCAATGTAAAGAAAAACTTCCATAAATGCAAAATCTTACTTAGTGACATTTTGGGTAAGAAAATAAAACACGAGGTCTGGGACTTGACTATAGACTGCTATACTGAAAGCAAACTTCAGGGTTTTTTTGGACACTT